>NC_000001.11:204396708-204548223 GCF_000001405.40 Homo sapiens | reverse complement strand
ATCAAAGGAACTTCATAAAGATTTGGAATTCATGAGTGATGGTGTGCCACAGTTTAATTGGCATCACTTTTTCTTAGTAGGACATAAAATAATAGGGCTTATTAAATTCAATGGCATCTTTGATATGATGAAATACAGTCCATTTGCTTAATAGGTTTTCTGCACCCAAGTAGCCACAGAAGTCTGATTAAGATGGAAACATGGCCGGGAGTGGTGGCTCACGCCTGTAATCCCAGCACTGTGGGAGGCTGAGGCGGGCGGATCACCTGAGATCAGAAGTTCAAGACCAGCCTGACCAACATGGAGATCCTCGTCTCTACTAAAAATACAAAATTAGCTGGGCATGGTGGCACATGTCTGTAATCTCAGCTACTTGGGAGACTGAGGCAGGAGAATCGCTCGAAGCCGGGAGGCGGAAGTTGCAGTGAGCCGAGATTATGCCATTGCATTCCAACCTTGGCAACAAGAGTGAAACTCCATCTCAAAAAAACAGATGGAAACATTTATCTCTGTTATTTGTATTACAGTCAAGAACACTTACTGGACCAATATATTTTACTTTATTACTAAGCTACACACAGATCATTGGCAATGAACTACCATAATGCTCAACAGTGGTGTGGTGGGAATGGGGGAAGGATCAACACCAGAAACAACCTAAAAATGTTTCTCTTTCCAAGCAGCAAAATGTAAAATCCCCTTCTTATCCTTCCTCCACCAACCTTTTTCCCATAGTGTGTTACCTGTGGCAAGACTAAAAGAAACATGGGGAAATAGCAACAAAAAAGCAAGGTATACATTTGGGTCTAGACTTGAGTTGTCAACTAGTGACAAATCCATCCCTATTAACCTAAGAGTGGAATATCAAGTCTTCTTTAATAGTCCTCCATTAATACTAATCTGTGTGGAAATTAAGCTGTTTTCCATTTGCTTCTTTTTAAGAAAACAATGACAATATTATTTTTATATTCAACAAATAATTTTAGATAGCCTATGGGTCTGTCTTTGGGATTGCAGAGAGGTGTTGAGTCAGGGAAAGCAGTGCAAGACTATTTTGAATAACTTTGTGTCTCCAGAGAGATTTGATGGCAGGGAGAAAGGCACACAGAGGCATTTATCTCATCCTTTTCAAGGTAGGGAGAGGATAAGATCAAATTATCCCCTTCCCTTCTTAAGTTCCAATAAAAATCTCTTAAAAAAATGTAAAGAAACCAACATCACTTAGCAACTAGGCAAGGGAGACAGAAATGAGGGGTAAACAGCACTCTTCAACACAAGTGAACTGCTGGGATTACATCATCTGAAGATGGGGCTGGTGCAAAATAGTTCTTGCTAAAGATTCATACCTCAGAGGTAACCTCTACATCGGTATCATCACTTAAGGACTTAGAGTCCTCCAGGTCATCATTTTTTCCCACTTCAATCACCTGTGAAGGCAAAAACATCTCATTAGTAATGTTTACTTGTTTTAGATGAGGCTAATTAACTGAAAGCAAAAAAGACAACTGCTTCAATTTAAAACTCACATTCTTCTCCCATCTCTAGCACTTAAGGAGACAGCTTAAATGCAAGACCAAACACATGATTCTGTACTTCTAGTTGGCATTTCAGTAGTAGCACAAACGACAGAAAAGCACCCAGAAGAGTTACCAAATAAATTTTGCATTCAGAAGAGAGAAGATGCCCATATTTATGACTTTAAAGAAAATAGCTGGGCATGGTGGCTATTTTACAGCCAGGTGCCTATAATTTCAGCACTTTGGGAGGCCAAGGCAGGAGGATACCTTGAGCCCAGGAGTTTGAAACTGGCCTAGGCAACAGAGCAAGACCCTGTCTCTGCAAAAAATAAAAAAAATTAGCCAGGTGTGGTGGTGCACGCCTGTAGTCCCAGTTACTTGGGGGCTGAGACAAGAGAATCGCTTGAGCCCAAGAGTTCCGGCTTGCAGTAAGCTATGATCTCACCACTGCACTCCAGCCTGGGTGACAGAATAAGAGCTTGTCTCTAAAACAATTTAAAAATAAATAAATAAATAATTTCAGAGTAGAAAAGCTCCAAATTGTTAAACGTGCAATTTTTTATCTAAGCAGACAGGAAGAATGAAACAAAGTATCTTAAAAATTTACTTTTCACTTTCAAAAGTGAAACTAGTTATGTGATACTCTGGCTGTCCTATAAAAACATGCCCACAGAAACAGAAACAAACAAAAAAAGTCCGTTTCAAAAGTAAGGAGTGTTCTAAATTTTAAAATTTAGAATTTAAAAATTTAAAGCCCTAGTTTTGTGGTCCAATAAAAAGAATAAAACCAATTATGAAACAATTATGAACCTCTGTACAGCAACCTTCTCACAAATGGCCAAGTATTTTAAGTCCCATCTCTCTCTATAGACGTTTCCTAGGCCAGGTATGGCTGCACATGCCTGTGACCCCAGCTACTTGGGAGGCTGAAGTGGAAGGACCACTTGAGCTAAGAAGTTTAAGACCAGGTTGGGCAAAACAGTGAGATCCCATCTCAAAAATAAATAAATAAAAGTTTCCAAATGTCACTTTTGTCTTAATTCAAGCCACCTGCATTCCTTCTAATGCTACCCATATAACTAGTCTAAGAGAACCCAGGTACCATTTGACTACAACGAATATACTAGGGTATCCTTCAGGAACTCAAAATTCTTATGAAAATCCCTTAAATAACTAAAAAGGATGACCCAATTTTTTCTTTGCTGTATTTATCCGATGGATGTTTACCAACACTCTTCTACATGCTGGCCACTGGATCTCCTCCCCAATTTCTTCTGAGTCTTGAGCAAGTTGCCTGTATGACTCTTCATCTGTACATGAGTACATACCATACACATGAGTACTTCATGAGTACATACCATATGTATGTACTCAGAGTTCAATCTCCCCTCTTTTCTACTATTTTAACACTAAAATAGCTACAAAGAAATAATCTTATCTTTCCATTTAGGTACAACATGGTTATGGAAGCTATCAAGATTTCCAAGAAATAAGTTTTCTCCTACAGACTGCTGTTCATTTACAACAGGGGTGTCCAACCTTTTGGCTTCCCTGGGTCACACTGGAAGAATTGTCTTGGGCCACACATAAAATACACTAACACTAATGATAACTGATGAGCTAAAAGGAGAAAAAAAATCGCAAGAAAACTCATAATGTTTTTTAAAAGTTTATGAATTTGTGTTGATTCAAAGTTGTTCTGGGCCGCATGTGGTCCACAGGCTGTGGGTTGGACAAGCTTGATTAGCACCTTACCTTGTTAGCAAAGGGAGAGAAAAGGTAGCTTGTTGCTATAATCAGGGGAAAAAAGAGTAGCTTACTGCTTTTGACTAAGTAGGGGCTTTTAAGGCAGCCCTGGTTAACATTACTTAATGTGAATCTTAAAATTGGATTGAAAAATTAATTAAAGTTAAAAAGGGGATTATGTGAGCAATCTGTTGTAAAAACAGATACAAAGAAATCTCAACAGATGATACTATGAGCACACAAACAGAATCAACATGGAATTTTTCCACAACATACCTTTTTGTCACTTACTTTCCCTACTTCTTCACTTGTTTGTTCAGTATCAGCAGCTTCAACTTTTATTCCAACACCTAACTGCTCTGATACTGACTCATTCAAAAACCACAAGTCATCTGTAGTATCTGAAACAATGGCAGTACCCACATCCTAACAGAAAAAAAACAAACATGAGTTTCTGTATTCAGAGGTTTATCAGAGATGTTGAAACAACACAAATGAACCCAAAACTCAATGTCGTCACACTACATCGCCAAAGAACATCTTGCCTTTATTCAGTGGACATGTATTCATTCAACATATATCTACTTGACACCTACTGTGGATAAACTAATGGATGGATATAATGGTGTCAGGCATGGACTTTTCTCTTTTAACACTAAATCAGGTATAACACCTAAGAAACAGTACTGAAGAGTTTAAAAGGTAAGGACTTGTAGTTGCTCAAGTAAATAGAATCTATTCCCTAAATTCCCTTCTACAGGTGACACTCTAAGAAGCTACAAAACATTCCATTAGTTCTGACATATTCTTTCCCTTAAAATGGTCAAGGATGTTTATTAAAGAAATATGAGAAATACTGATGGTCACCCAAACCTTTTGTCCTGACACTTTCTGAACTCCATATAGAACTAACCTTCTGCATTCATCTATGAATATTTCATGACATGCTTTTCTACAACATTCATGAGAGACAATTTATTATTTTGCACACTATTAAATACTCATCCATTTATTAAACAAATACTCACTGAATACCTATTATGTGCCACATACTGTTCTAGGTACCAGGTAATGGAAAAAGTAGTGAATAATACAAAAGCCCTGGCCTTACATTTCAGTGGTAAACAGACAACACATACATAAAATATAGCAATATTTTTACAAAGTGAGAAGTACTATGGAGAATAAAATAGGATAAAAGAGAAGAGTGGCTAGAGAGGAGGCTATTTTAACTAGGGATGGGTTTGGCAGGGCCACCACCTATAGCTACACAGCTCCAAAACAAAAAGCGAATGGATCCTACTGGAACTGTGTAACATAATAGCCTTTGTGGCCAGGGATGACCTCTTTGAAGAAATTACATTTGAGGTGAGTCCTAAATCATGAGAAGGCAAAGAAAGAATGTGGGGGAACAGTGTTCCAGAAAGAGTAAAGAACAAACTTAAGGTGCCTGAGGAAGGCAGCAATTTTGGGCTACAGTGTCAGAAAGGAGCCTAGTATATCCAAAACGCATGTAGTGAACAAAGAAGAATGACAGGAAGTGAGGAAGGAGGGGGCTGAA
Organism: Homo sapiens; assembly: GCF_000001405.40. Classification (NCBI taxonomy): domain Eukaryota; kingdom Metazoa; phylum Chordata; class Mammalia; order Primates; family Hominidae; genus Homo; species Homo sapiens. The sequence continues at coordinate 204,543,399 of NC_000001.11, read as the reverse complement.
TCAGTTATTACTATAGTAAAACAGGCGCACGCCACCACGCCTGGCTAATTTTTAATTTTTTGTAAAAATGGTGTCTATGTTGCCTAGGCTGGTCTCAAACTCCTGGGCTCAAGCAATCCTCCTGTCTCGGCCTCCCAGTGTTATAGGCTGGGACTCCCAGAGATTACAGGCATGAGCCACTACGCACAGCCAAAGGCTCCATTTTGAAATTGTTCAATGTCAAATCCTCTAAGTAGAGTTGTTAGTTAAATAGGCATCTGGAAACTGAAGTTGGGCATTTAGGGAAGAGGTAAGGACTAGAGATACAGATTTGGGTATCACATGCATACAGATGGTATTTAACGCCATAGGAGTAAATAAGAATTCTTAGAGAATATAATGTGTGGTCAAGAGTAACCAAGAATGTTACCCTTTCAAAAGAAAAAAAACCACTTCCCTTCAAATGTGAAATTTACCTGATTTGTCTGTAAATCAGTTGAGCCATTACTTCTAGGTGTATAGTTGCTTCTCAAGTTTCCTAAAAACCACCAAGGCAGGCCAGCTACATCCCACTCCTCAAATCCAAGGTCCAGCCTAGATGTTTCATCTTGGGCTAAATTTTCAATTAAGTCTTCATCTATAGAAGTCAAATGAAAAGAATGATAACTATGCACAATACGTAATAACTAAGACTATCTTTAGAATACTTAAAACTTCTTTATAAAATAGGTAAAAAGAAATTCCTGTTCTAAGAAAGAAAGAACCAGAAATCAAGTATCTGTCTTAGTGGCAGAGCTCAAATCTCCTCCCTTGTTTAGACTTCATTAGCAAGTAATGACACTACAAACAGATCATCGTTTATCAAGTTTAAACTCTAAAAGCATTGTCTTCTATGAGAAGACAGGAAAAAAAAAAGACTCTAAAAGCATCTGAACAATGACCTTGTGCTAAAAGAATTTCTAAATGGGCATTTACTGGTATTTTAAACACTCCTACCATGTATAAACTATAGAATTACTTGCTCTAGTACATAGTGCCTGATAATAGTTTGATTAACAGCATTGCAAATGATGGTAACATAGTGGTCTAACCCTTAAGATCAAAGCAAGGCAATACAAACCATAATAGGTGATCACAAGGTTGTCCAGGCAATCTCACTGGTACCACATATTCTGGGTCAATTCTCAATAATTCGTATGTTTTAGTAGGTAACAACCACTATAAAACACTAAACTCTAGGTTGTCCAAATACATACATATGCCCTCGCTGGATCAATGGGCTCTTAGAGTTAAGTATCTAGACATACCACAAATACTAAGACCCCACGTTATTTCAAGTAAAAGATCTCACATTGTACATTTGAATGACACTGAGGGCAGCTAATTAACATAAGTCTGTTGTTATCACATGATACTCTTTTCTTTCCCATACTCCAGTCTTTTGTTGGGCTCTACTGCTCCTTTCTTACTTTCTCATTCTCTTCTACCTCCTCCCAATACATTAGGCCTGCCCATAGCAACCATGGGGTTAACGTGTGCTGAAGTACATATGGTGAAAGAATTTCTGCAATACATGGGTCCTTGCCAGAACATAAGGTTACCCTATTTACTTATAAATTATGTCAATATTGCTGACTAAAAGGCTTATCTGTGGCCAGGGAAACTTCAATTATGTTTCCACTTATTCATTATTGAAACTATCAGAAGCCAAATTCTTGAAATGGTGCCATATTAAAGTTATTCTTCCCTACTCGAGCTCTACAACTTATGAAGGAAATGAAAATAGGTCATTCTTTCCACAAATAAAAATTCTGTCCCTTCTACCTATAGGTCTTCCTGAAAATACTATTATTTATTCCCAAATTTTCATCACAAACTACATATCCCCCCTTGAGTTGGCTATTCTTAAATACCTGCCCTTGCCCCCAACTTTTTTTTGAGACAGGGCACCACTTTGTTGCCCAGGCTGGAGTGCAGTGACATGATATTGATTCACTGCAACCTCCGCTCACTGCAATCTCCACCTCTTGGGCTCAAGTGATCCTTCCATCTCAGCCTCCTGAGTAGCTGGGACGACTGGTGCGCACCATCATGCCCAGCTAATTTTCTACTGGGCTGATTTTTTGTAGAGACGAGGTCTCGCTATGTTACCCAAGCTGGTCTCGAACTCTTGAGCTCAAGTAATGCCCCTGCCTCAGCCTCCCAAAGTGCTGGGATTACAGGCACGAGCTACCATGCCCAGCCTTGATTTTCTAACAGTGCCCAGCCATGTTCTTATATATCTTAAAATTGCCTTTTGAGTACAAAATAAGCAAGGATTTGCATTAAGGAATAAAATTACACATTTAATATCATATAGACTGGAATAGTTACAAAGTAACTAGGTAGACCAAAATTCAGTTTATGCTCAAATGCAATGTAAAGAAAACAATCCAGCATGATAAACTTATTCAAATTTAAGCTTTTAAAATAACTTCAGCAGCCAAAGTTTCTCAGACATAACTAGAGGCTTAACCTGCCATTGGTCCACATGCCTAGACTAGAAGCCATCATGCCATAAAATGACTTTGGGGAATTTATGATTTTACACATCTTCGCCAACACAAAAACAGAAACAAAAAACTAATTTTAGAAAGTGTTTTTTTTGTTTGTTTTTTGAGACAAAGTCTTGCTCTTGTCCCCCAGGCTGGAGGGCAATGGCGCGATCTCGGCTCACTGCAACCTCTGCCTCCCGGGTTCAAGCAATTATCCTGCCTCAGCCTCCCGAGTAGCTGGGATTACAGGCGCCTGCCACCATGTCCGGCTAATTTTTGTATTTTTAATATAGACAGTGTTTCACCATGTTGACCAGGCTGGTCTCGAACTCCTGACCTCAGGTGATCCGCCTGCCTCAGCCTCCCAAAGTGCTAGGATTACAAGCATGAGCCACCATGCCCAGCCTAGAAAGTGTTTTTTAGAGTTTTGGGGAAAATATGGATGAACTCATTAGCCTGACCACAACATATCTAATGGAATGGCAAAGATCTGGTGACTACCATCCAAGGGCAAAAACAATTTTTCTGGATTTGGAATATTTGCATATACATAATGAGATATCCTGGGGATGGGACCCAAGTTTCCCTTTTGTTTTTTTTTTGAGACAGAGTCTCGCTCTGTCGCCCAGGCTGGAGTGCAGTGGCACAATCTCGGCTCACTGCTAGCTCCACCTCCTGGGTTCACGCAATTCTCCTGCCTCAGCCTCCCGGGTAGCTGGGACTACGGGCGCCCGCCACCACACCCAGCTAATTTTTTGTATTTTTTTTAAGTAGAGACAGGATTTCACCGTGTTGGCCAGGATGGTCTCAATCTCCTGACCTCGTGATCCGCCCACCTCAGCCTCCCAAAGTGCTGGGATTACAGGCGTGAGCCACCGCGCCCGGCTAATGGGACCCAAGTTTTCATGTACACCTTGTACACATAGCCTGAAGACAGTTTTTTGTAATATTTTAAATAATTCCGTGCATGAAACTAAGTTTTCACTGCAACCTGTCATATGAGGTCAGGTGTTAAATTTTCTACTTGTGGTGTCATGTGAAAAAGTTTTCAGAGGCTGGGTGTGGTGGCTCATGCCTATAATCCCAGCACTTTGGGAGGCCAAGGCGGGTGGATCACGAGGTCATGACATCAACCCATCCTGGTCAACATGGTAAAACCCCGTCTCTACTAAGAATACAAAAATTAGCTGGGCGTAGTGGTGCACGCCTGTAATCCCAGCTACTTAGGAGGCTGAGGCAGGAGAATCGCTTGAACACGGGAGGTGGAGGTTGTTGCAGTGAGCTGAGACTGTGCCACTGCACTCCAGCCTGGTGACAGAGCAAGACCCTGTCTCAAAAAAAAAAAAACAAAACAAAACAAAAAAAAAAAACAAGTTTTCAGATTTTGGATGCTCAACTTATTCTAAGATCCTTTGAAAGGGTCTTGCACCATCCTAGTACTCATGAGTTGCTAAAAGAGCATTACAATCTTTCAAATTGAGAATGCTCAACATTTCAAATTTAGAGTGCTCAACTTATACCAGGCTTCTTATATCTCATTCTTGGCTTTGTGATTAAGTATATTATGTCATCTTTGCAAACTTCAAAATGTGTAAAAATTGGGCCAGGTGCAGTGGCTCACGCCTGTAATCCCAGCACTTTAGGAGGCTGAGGCGGGTAGACCATTTGAGGCCAGTAGTTCGAGACCAGCCTGGCCAACATGGCAAAACCCCAAAATTAGCCAGGCGTAGTGGCATGCACCTGTAATCCCAGCACTTTGGGAGGCCAAGGTAGGCAGATCACCTGAGGTCGGGAGTTGGAGACCAGCCTAACCAACGTGGGGAAACCCCATCTCTACTAAAAATACAAAATTAGCCGGGTGTGGTGGCGTGCGCCTGTAATCCCAGCTACTCCAGAGGCTGAGGCAGGAGAATGGCTTGAACCTGGGAGGCGGAGGCTGCGGTGAGCTGAGATCACACCATTGCACTCAGCCCAGGTAACAAGAATGAGACTCCGTCTCAAAAAAAAAAAAAAAAAAGCCAGGCGTGGTGGCACACACCTGTAATCTCAGCTACTCAGGAGGCTGAGGCACAAGAATCACTTGAACCAAGGAGGTGGAGGTCGCAGTGAGCTGAGATCGCACTGCTGCACTCCAACCTGGGTGACCCAGGGAAACTCTGACTCCAAAAAAAAAAAAAAAAGTATGAAAATTGGCCTTTGCCTCAAGTAGATAAATCAAAATAAAAATTCTAACCAAATCATATACATACAAGAATACTAAGATTGAAAAGTCTAAGGCAGCTGAATTCATGTATGTAGAAAATTCACCTGGTAGCAAATCAATAAATGTGTAGCTATTTTCTAGTAGCATGCTAGCTCATGGAAGGGTCTTGCACCATCCTAGTACTCACGGGTTGCTAAAATAGCACTACCTCTTCAAAGCTAACAATGGTAGTAACTAGGCTGATAAAAAGGTTTTCAGAAAAGGATGAGAAATTGTGACATATCCCTCTCCTACTTCACATACGGAGAGATTAAAAATAAAAAGGTTGGAAGAGGAAGAGAACAAAAGTCTATATAGCCTTAATCCAAAACATACCTTCTCTAGAATGTATGCATTTATGCTCTGAGGTAGGCAGTGTGGGGATATCGTCTTCTGTAGTTCTTTTTCTGGAAGTGGAACTTTCCTCTGCACTTTGCTGAAAGAAGGGAAAGGTGTCCATCAGTGCAGTAGAAATAACTGAGACCAGGGGATGTAGCAGTTCCATTCTGGCTCACCAGTTAGTGTGCAACACAATGGGTTACACACAAGAAAGAGAACTCAAGTTCACAACAGTCATCAAATAAAGGCAACACCTCTCCTCAACCCACTGTGAGCAAAGCTAGAAGAATCCCAAACCTGGGGGGAAAAAAAACCTCTGCACAAAGGCCAAAATCTACTGTTAAAAACAGGCTATCTGTATAAACCCTCCAGTCTACTACAAAATTAGGCATAATTCAGAAAACATATGAAACCCTCGCCACGTACCAAGATGACTATAAAGTTTCCCCAGGTTTGGGGAAGCTTTAGGAAATGGCCTGACATGAACTTAACTGCAACACGCCTATTAAAATCTAATAAAGCAATATCCTCAAACACACACACACAGGTACACACAAACCCAAAGAAAAATGCAACTGGAAGAACTGAAGATCAGAAGTGCTACATCCCAAAGAAAGGTTCAGAGACTGGAACTCTGTTATGGGCAGAACAGAGAAGGTTCACTCTGTCCCTGGTCTGTGAACTCCCAAGAACCTTTCTTATTAAATTCTTACCACATTCAGGGAAAGGTCTTGGGAGTCCAAGATCCATAGGTACAGAGAAGGGGCCACTCTGTACAACAAAAGAAGTCACCGTGTGGTGATTTTACCTTCAGTTGGTCTTGACTTGGAATATCCATACTGTGATCCTGTGCGAGAGCGAGAGTCTGAGCAGCATCTGGATAGCAAGTAAAACAAAAGGAAAACCTTCCCTGGTAATAACCATTCTTTCCACACAAAAAGGACCTCAGCAAACAACCCGGGAGCCAGGTTTAGTCCCTAGAAATGTACTTCTCCATGTTGGCTGGACAAAGCTCTCATTTGCAAGGGAAAAATCAAAATTGATAAAAATGACAAAGACCAAGACAGGCCATATCCAAAATATATTACCAAAATATAATCGGGAAAAAAAACAGTGAAAAATAGCTAAAAATGTTCTTCCATATCAAGCTTTTAAATTTTTATATGAAAACTGGTTCCAAGCAGGACATAATGGAGTCTATTTTTGTCATCTCTTCCTATATATTACCAAATTCGCCTAACTCACAAACAAAAGGAAAAGAGTGTATGGCTTTTTACATTTAATTTCAACTTTCAAGTGTTAAGTCATACAGGGTTATGGGATCTTGAAATCTGGATTTTTCCCCGTTTGCTTCATAAAACAATAGCATCTTCATCTAAAGCGACATTCTAAGTGTCAAGGATAATTTTATGGTTTAAATTCCCATTACCATCACCTGTATATAAATTAATTTTTTTCATTGTCTTATTTTTCCCAGTTACTATAAACATTTCCTAAGAAGCAGCAGCAAATAAAGTTTTTCTCAAGGCCAATAAAAAGAACCAAGGAAAACAACACAGTACAGAGAAATTCTTAGATATTACATTAATCTAAAAGAGAAATGCATTCCAAGGACTTACAAAGAAATTTTTCAAGTAGAACAAAAGACAAAAACTTGGCTACACGAAAAGATCAAGCTGCAAACAATTTAATAATCTGGACTATTCATTATTTGAGGCTATGTGAATGAGATAGACCCAAAATAAGTCTACTGTGGGTCAGGTTCACCAACCACTACCAGGTTCAGAGATAAAATATGGAAAATATCATCACCATCTGATAAAGGCTGCTAGAGGAAGGATACAGATCCTACAACTGATCTGTCAATGCGGTTCTATTGAAAAAAGCAAACATTTTCAAAATTCTAATTATAAAAAACATTATTTCCAGAAACATTTTTGTGGACAAACGGAGACAACAAAAAGTTTGAGAGACAGCATTTTCTGACCACAGTGGTCTTCAAAGCGAAGTTGGACTAACATATAATGCAGATGGAGCAATTTTTTTGTTTGTTTGAGACGGAGTCTTGCTCTGTCACCCTGGCTGGAGAGCAGTGGCGCAATCTCGGCTCACTAAAACCTCTACCTCCCTGGCTCAAGTGATTCTCCTGCCTCAGCCTCCCAAGTAGCTAGGATTATAGGCGCACGCCTGACTAATTTTTGTATTTTTAGTAGAGACAGGATTTTATCATCTTGGCCAGGCTGGTCTCAAACTCCTGACTTTGTGATCCACCCGCCTCGGCCTCCCAAAGTGCTGGGATTACAGGCATGAGCCACCGCACAGGCCAGGAGCAATTCTTTAATAAAGCAATCCTATTACTGTCATTTATATTTCCAAAGCCTTACTACCTTACTTAGGTTAAAACAGTTACAAGCAAAAATAAATTATCTGGTGAAACCACAATGTAAAAAAGAAGTTTTAAAATTAGCCGGGTGTGGTGGCTCACGCCTGTAATCCCAGAACTTTGGGAGGTCGAGGTGTGTGGATCACTTGAGTCCAGGAGTTTGAGACCAGCCTGGGCAACCCACCAGCCTGGTGAAACCTCATCTCTACTAAAATCACAAAAATTAGCCGGGCTTGGTGGTGCGCACCTGTAATCCCAGCTACTCGGGAGGCTGAGGCAGGAGATCACCTGAACCCAGGAGGCAGAGGTTGCAGTGAGCCGAGATCGCACCACTGCACTCCAGCCTAGTCGACAAAGCGAGACTCAGTCTCAAAAATTAATAAACACACACAAAGTTAGTCATATTTATTTCATTTGTATACATGGGAAAATTTGGAGAGACAATTTAGAAAGAACTACCATTTTAGGCTGGGTGCAGTGGCTCACGCCTGTAATCCCAGTACTTTAGGAGGCCAAGGCGGGCAGATCACGAGGTCAGGAGATCGAGACCATCCTGGCTAACACGGTGAAACCCCGTCTCTACTAAAAATATAAAAAATTAGCCAGGCATGATGGCGGGCGCCTGTAGTCCCAGCTACTCAGGAGGCTGAGGCAGGAGAACTGCGTGAACCCGGGAGGTGGAGGCTGCAGTGAGCCAAAATCATGCCACTGCACTCCAGCCTAGGCGACAGAGCGAGACTCCATCTCAAAAAAAAAAAAAAAAAAGAACTACCATTTTAAACAATGGCATCTTCTTGACCAAAATGAAAAGTTTAACCCATTTGCAAAGGTATAAAATTATATGAAAAGCACTTCTCTCATTTGTCCTTTCAAATAAAACACAAGCAACCCAAATCACAAAAATCAACAGAGATGGCCATCCACAAGCACCAATGCAATTGCAAGTCAGAACAGATAACCAATCAGAATTACTTGGGGCAATTTTCTGGTTTTGATCATCATACTATTATTATGTAAGATGTTACCATTTGGGGACTCTGGATAAAGGGTATAGAGAAACTCTATGCAATACTTTTGCAACTTTATTAAGTCTGAAATTTTTTCAAAACGACAAGTTAAAAAATAAAAATGGGCCACGCATGGTGGCTCACGCCTGTCATCCCAACACTTTGGGAGGCCGAAGAAGGGGGATCGCTTGAGTCCTGGAGTTCAAGACCAGCCTAAGCAACAAGCAGAAAACCTGTACCTACAAAAAAATATACAAAAAACTAGCCAGGTGTGGTGGCATACTCCTGTAGTCCCAGCTACTGAGGAGGCTGAGGTGGGAGGACTGCTTGTGCCACGGAGGCGGAGGTTGCAGTGAGCCGAGATCTTGCCACTGCACTCTAGCCTGAGCAACAGAGAGATCCTGTCTCAAACAAAACAAAACAAAACCAACAAAATATTCTTTATATGGCATGTTAAATTCTGCAGAGAAAGTACAAGAAAGAAAATGAGAGAAAAAAGGAGAATTATAGATATTCAGAAAACAGATCAATCCAAAAACAAATTTTAATGAAAAAGTAGATCAGCAATTATAAAATCCTCCATGTATCTCAAACCTTTAGTGACTATCGCAGGAAAGCCATGCTATTTTACAAGTGATTGAATTTCAATAAAGCTGCCGTATCATTTGCAGGATCTTCACTCTCAAATTTACAGCTATGTGAAGTGGGCATATGACTCAATGAGACTAACAGGCTTCAAAATTCAGTAAGTTCAAAATCATGTTTCGGTATGACAGCAATGTCTCTTTCTCTGCCTTTAAAGAATAAATCTTTATTAGTAATTGATTTAGGTCTGGGGGCGGTGGCTCATGCCTGTAATCCCAACACCTCGGGAGGCTGAAGTGGAAGAATCACTTGAGGCCAGGAGTTCAAGACCAACCTGAGCAACAAAGCAAGACCCCATTTCTACAAAAAAACAAAATTAGCCAGGTGCAGTGCAGTGCCATGCACCTATAGTCCTAGCTATTTGGGAGGCTGAGACAGGAAGATGAGTTAAGCCCAGGAGGTAAAGGCTGCAGTGAACTATGATTGCACCACTGCATTCCAGCCTGAGTGACAGAGCAAGACGCTCTACATTTAAAAAAAAAAAAAAAGAAAAAGAAAAGAAAGAAAGAAAAAGATAAAAAGGAATGGATTCTTCTCAACCTACTTATTTCAGTAAACTATCAAAAGACAGTGCAAAAGACAGTTCAGTAAACTATCAAAAGACAGTGGCAGTGGCCAAGTGCAGTGGTTCACACGCATAATCCCAGGACTCTGGGAGGCCAAAGTGGGTGGACTGCTTGAGTCCAGGAGCTCAAGATCAGCCTGAGCAACACAGCAAAACCCTGTCTCTACTAAAAATACAAAAAATTAGCCAGGCATGGTGGCATGTGCCTATAATCCCAGCTACTCGGGAGGCTGAGGTGGGAGAATCACCTGAGCCCGAGAGGTCCAGGCTGCAGTGAGCTGAGATAGTGCCACTGCACTCCAGCCTGGGCAACCTGAGAAGAAAAAAAGATGGTCAATCTAAAAAGATTACTAACTTGGGCTTTCTTCAAAGGGCAATGTTAATATGAAGCTCACAAAAGGGCTTTATGTAGTAGTGGAGAGGGAAAAAGTTTCATTATTTGGAAATGGCTATGTTCAGTCTGTCCAGTTTATTTACCTATCTCTTACAGACCACCATTTTGGAGACTCCAGACTCCAGTACAGCCAGTTTCCTATACATACCTAATAGTTAAAGAGCAGTATTTAGAAGGTCTAGAATCAAGCAAAGGGTTAGACAAATTGGCATTCAGATAAGAGATGGCTAAAGCCATTAGGTAAAAGGTTCTTGAGTGACCTGTGTAACAGATGGATCAGACTGATACCACCTGAGCCCACAGATTATTAACATGACTGACTAAAATAGACAGGCAGACCTTACATGACTCTGATGTGATTAAACAGAAGTACAAAGCATTACCTATAAAGCTTTCTTGGCAAAAAATTTAAACTTGAATTTATTCAAGCACTACCAGTTTACCAAAAATAGAGAGGGTAAAGAAACACATTAAACAAAATCACAAGGATACAATCTGCCAACTCTAGAGCGTGGGAAATTCTACAGAACAAATGACCCATTTCTTCAACACGTAAATGACATGAAAACAAAAGGAAAGTTAAGTTTTATAGATTAAAGACACTTATGAGACATATCAACCAAAGGCAATGTGTGGACTTTGGATCCTAATTCAAGTAAGACAAAAATACAAGGTATTTTTGAGATAACTGGGGGAAATGATACATAAACTGGCTATGAAATAGGATTATGGAATTACATGTTAAATTTGTTATGTGTAATAATGATATTGAATGTTTGGAGAAAAAAGTCCTTATCTGCTAGAGATTTTTAAAAGTGTGTCTAGATGAAGCAATATGACAAAACGTTAACAGTACGTCTAGAAAGTGGAAATCCTTCTACTCTATGTTTGATTTTTCAGTAAAAAGTTAATAACATAACATTCTGTGTGACAGGTAGTATGTATTTCTCCCAGTCATGCCAAAGATAGCATTCCATTTCCACCTTCATCTTCTTTGTTTTCCCATCATTTGCCCCCTTGAACTCAAAGCTGTGATACAGACTGAAGAAATATGATGTGACATACCTGTAGTAGCAGTGGCTAAAGTGACAAGATTCTTTCTTAGCATATCATAGAGAGGGCTGTTAAAGAGAGAAGATAAAAAATTAACAACCCCAAATGCCACTATGAAGATATCAGTGGTTTGCCGTTAAATATTAAATGTATTTCTGATGTTATCTCCCAAGTCTCTCTGTAAGGCATACAAAGGCAGAATCTTTTTCCCAGAACAGTTTTTAATTATTTAAATATTAAGATGTTAATGCCCAGGCCCCTGTGTTACTCTGCCCCCATTAAAAAACTGATTAATTTACATTTTATTTCATTAGCGAACAGTAATCCAAGTGGGGAAATCTCTTTTGGAAACTATTCCTTCCTTCCAGGACTGAAGTTTCACATTGTAATTGGAAAGTGGGGGTGGAGGGGAGTCTTTTTTTTTTGGAGACGGAGTTTTGCTATTATTGCCCAGGCTGGAGTGCCATGGCACAATCTCAGCTCACTGCAATCTCTGCCTCCCGGACTCAGGCAATTCTCCTGCCTCAGCCTCCCTACTAGCTAGGATTATAGGCGCCCGCCACCACGCCCAGCTAATTTTTTGTATTTTTAGTAGAGACGGCGTTTCACTTATGTTGGCCAGGCTGGTCTTGAACTCCTGAAGTCAGGTGATCCACCCACCTCAGCCTCCCAAAGTGCTGGAATTACAGGCTTGAGCCACCACACCCAGCTAAGGGAAGTCTTAGTGTAAGACAGAATGAGCTCAGAAGCAGCAGTCATCAAAGCTATAGAGAAAGAGAGCTTCTAAATTACTAATTAGCTTTTGACTATATAAGCTAATAACTTACACCCCATGCAGCTGGAGAAAAGTAACAGGTCAGGTTAGCCCTACTGTGATTCTTACCAGGCTCATCATCAACCTCTAACTGCCCAGCAATTCTACATTTCTCTCATCTGCTCACTCTTCCTCCCTCTCCAACAATTATTTCACAAAATTCTAACCTAGTCACATCAAGCTTCCTCCTACCCAGGCCTTTACACATGGTGTTCAATCAACCTCAAACTCTCTGATTGACTACTTAATTATCTATCTTTCAGCTTTTGGCTGAAATTTCACTTCCTCAAAAGAACATTTTCTTGACCTCTAACACTCTAAATCCCACCCACTCCCTGCTTCATGTATCTCTTTTCTGTAGCACTTGCCATAGTGTAGGTTTACCATGAATTAGTGTGATTATTTGACTAAGATGGGCAAGAGCATCTACTGACTCACTACTCTGTATACTCCATAAAATCAGACTGTGTGTCGCTCATTACCATATTCTCAGTGCCTCATAGGCTACCTAACATATGTAGGCTCTTACATATTTGTTGAGTGAAGTAATAAATATTAATAACCCATAGAAATTAAGTGGCTAGGTATAAGCACCCAAAAAGATACGCAAGCCCTCACTGTTTTTACCTTGGGTCTTTCACGGAGAAGCTCTGACGTCCCAGTAGTTCTCCCAAAAGATCTCCACCACAATATACCATATGCTGCTCCTGCTGATCATAAAGTTGCTTCACCATTATGTACTGACCTAAATAGTGCATGACCTGCATGGAATAAAATACCATGTTGTGATCTGTCCAGCTGCTACCAAAAACACAAATTCATTAGAGGAGGTAAGGTAAGTTAGTTTGCTAAAGAAAGAAATAACATATTTACAAGACTGTCAAAGTTTGTGTAAGGGGTCCTACAACAGGAAAGCCGCTCCCAACTACTAGGTCCATCTACTCATTGTCTTTCTGACAATTAACAGACCCAGACTTTTCAGCACAGAAATGAACTGATCTGACAATGAGAAAAAGCAGTGAATTTACCTAGTATCCTCTTAAAAATTTTCTCAGACGTCCAAATAAAGAAGTCTATTCTATTACTAGAAGTAATTTGCCTGGATTATAAAAATATTTTCCCAGTCCAGGGCACATAAACGACTTTAGGCTTTTGATATGTGTTCACATAATAATTCTTTTTGGCAAATGAAGTACAATGTTTAATAAGAGCCATCAGCATTGTAAGTGGACAAAACATAAAATCCAAGTGTTTATCAAATAAAAATTTAGTCGGCTGAAGTGGTTCACACCTGTAATCCCAGCACTTTGGGAGGCCAAGGCAGGCAAATTGCTTGAACCCAGGAGTTTGATACCAGCCTGGGCAACATGGCAAAACCTGTCTCTACATAACATACAAAACTTAGCCAGGTGTGGTGAGGCACGCTTGTAGTCCCAGCTACTAGGAAGGCTGAGGCGGGAGGATCACTTGAACCTGGGAAGCGGAGGTTGCAGTGAGCTGAGATACCACCACTGCATTCCAGCATGGGTGACAGAGTAAGACCCTGGCTCTAAATAAATAAATAATAAAAATCAGGAAATTCCCTTTATGCAATAGATAGAGTCAAGGTTCATAACAGAAAGCTCATCGTGTAAACTCAGGCAAACTCTGCCATGCTAAATGAAGGAGATGGCATAATTCATCATAACCACTATAATGATATAAAAATCCAGACTTTACCCCTTGCCTGTGTGTGACGTCAGAATTGCCACAGCCAGCTATCTGTATGGGCGGGGCTGCCCTGGAGATGCAGGGCAAGCGCCAGGAACCCCTCCGGGTAGCTACTACCTTGGACCCCCCCCAGTAGTGGAGGGCAGTATGGCAGCGTGCTACCCCCTGGTGGTGGCTATGGGGGTCCTGCCCCTGGAGGGCCTTATGGACCACCAGCTGGTAGAGGGCCCTATGGACACCTCAATCCTGGGATGTTCCCCTCTGGAACTCCAGGAGGACCAAATGATGGTACAGCTCCAGGGGGCCCCTATGGTCAGCCACCTCCAAATTCCTACGGTGCCCAGCAGCCCAGGCCTCATGGACAGGGTGGCTCCCCTCCCAATATGGATGAGGCCTACTCCTGGTTCCAGTCGGTGACTCTGATCACAGTGGCTTTATCTCCATGAAGGAGGTGAAGCAGGCTCTGGTCAACTGCAACTGGTCCTTGTTCAATGATGAGACCTGCCTCATGATGATAAACATGTTTGACAAGACCTAATCAGGCCACATAAATGTCTACGGCTTCTCAGCCCTGTGGAAATTCATCCAGCAGTGGAAGCAGCTCTTCCAGCAGTTATGACTGGGACAACTCAGGCTCCATTAGCTACACAGAGCTGCAGCAAGCTCTGTCCCAAATGGGCTACAACCTGAGCCCCCAGTTCACCCAGCTACTGGTCTCCAGCTACTGCCCACGCTCTGTCAATCCTGCCAGACAGCTTGATTGCTTCATCCAGGTGTGCACCCAGCTGCAGATGCCGACAGAGGCCTTCCGGGAGAAGGACACAGCTGTACAAGGCAACATTCGGCTCAGCTTCAAGGACGTCGTCACCATGACAGCTCGGATGCTATGACCCAACCCATCTGTGGAGAGTGGAGTGCACCAGGGACCTTTCCTGGCTTCCTAGAGTGACAGAAGTACGTGGACCTCTCTCTTCTTTTCCTGTCCCTCTAGAAGAACATTCTCCCTTGCTTGATGCAACACTGTTCCAAAAGAGGGTTGAGAGTCCTGCATCACAGCCACCAAATAGTGAGGACCAGGGCTGAGGCCACACAGGTAGGGGCCTGATGAAGGAGAGGATGAAAGCTGAATGTCCCGACGGCCATGAGCAGTTGAGTGGCACAGCCTGGCACCAGACGCAGGAGATTCTGGTCCTTGTAATGGAGTTAGTGTCCAGTCAGCTGAGCTCCACCCTGATGCCAGTGGCGAGTGTTCACTGGCCTGTTACCATTAGCACCTGTGTTCCCTCACCAGGCCATCCTGTCACATGAGCCCATTTTCTCCAAAGTGGAATCTGACCAAGCATGAGAGAGATTTGCCCCTGGGACCAGTGGCTTGGATTCCATCACACCCATAAATCCTTGGGTATTAACTTCTAGCTGCCTGGGGCTGGCCCTGCTCAGACAAATCTGTTCCCTGGGCATCTTTGGCCAGGCTACTGCCTCCGCAGCTGGGATCCCTCACTTGCCTGCCACGCTCTGCTCGGCTTCCATCTCCAGGGGACAGTGGTCACCTCTCCTTGCCAATACTTTTTTTAATTTGCATTTTTTTCATTTGGGGCCAAAAGTTCAGTGAAATTGTAAGCTTCAATAAAAGGATAAAACTAAAAAAAAAAAAAAAAAATTCCAGACTTTAATAAGTTTGGGGAAAAAAAGGTCTTACGTGTCAAATTTTATACTCCAAAACGATGTGCTTAATTTAAAATCGTAAAAGTAATATAGGTATTCTAAAAAATCAGAAATGCCTCCAGATTTGTCTCCTTGAGAAGTGTAATGGTTCTGGAGTGTGGCAGTGTTGATAGGTGTGAAGGTTTTAAGTTCGAAAAAAAAAAAAGCCTGATAATTTTGTTTCTTCTCTTTAGGAAGGGTTAGATATCTACCCCACCAAATGAAAGCAGTTCCCAACATTAACATTTTAATACTGAGTCTTTTCCACTTAAAGAATACAAATTGTTTTTTAAAAAACTTCAGAAGCTAAATAAGTTATTTAAATGCATGTGTTTAAAATAACTCACAGTGCTCAGAAGAGTGTCTGACACTTTTTTTTTTTTTTTTGAGATGGAGTTTCACTCTTGTTGCCCAGGATGGAGTTCAATGGCACAATCTTGGCTCACCGCAACCTCCGCCTCCCAGGTTCAAGAAATTCTCCTGCCTCAGCCTCCCAAGTAGCTGGGATTACAACCATGCCAAGCTAGTTTTGTATTTTTAGTAGAGATGGGGTTTCTCCATGTTGGTCAGGCTGGTCTCGAACTCCTGACCTCAGGTGATCTGCCCACCTCAGCCTCGCAAAGTGCTGGGATTACAGGCGTGAGCCACCATATCTGACACATTTATAATAAAAACTACTGCATTTAATTCCTGCCTCAAAATACAGCCTGTAAATCAGACAGTGTCTTTTTTTTCTGAGACAGGGTCTCTCATTCTATCAACCAAGCTGGAGTGCACCTCATTGCAACCTTCACCTTCTGGGTTCAAGCGATCCTCCCACTTCAGCCTCCCATGTAGCTGCTGGGACTAAACGAGCAGACCACCATGCCCGCCCAATTTTTGTATTTTTTTTTTTTTTTTTAGAGACAGGGTTTCATCATGTTGCCCAGGCTGGTCTCAAAATCCTGGGTTCATGCAATCCCTCCACCTCAGCCTCCCAAAATACTGGGATTGCAGGCGTGAGCTATGGTGCCAGGCCCAGTGTCTTTTTAATCTTTACTTGCTCTGCATTTTAACTCTACGATCAATGAATTCATGGTTCATCTTATGTTTATCTTATAACACACTTCAAAAGAAAGGAAATATGATGTTCAACCTAACAGTCTTTAAAACAGAGTATAAGTTGCCCCTCTGATACCTCAGGAGTAGAACTTCCTTTCTTAGGCCTGATTTCAAAACTACATATTCACTGGCTTCTACTTCTCAACTGTTCTTAAAACTGAGAATTTGGCCAGGCGCGGTGGCTCATGCCTGTAATCCCAGCACTTTGGGAGGCCAAGGCGGATGGATCATGAGGTCAGGAGACTGAGACCATCCTGGCTAACACGGTGAAACCCCATCTCTACTAAAAATACAAAAAATTAGCCGGGCGTGGCAGCAGGCACCTGTAATCCCAGCTACTCGGGAGGCTGAGGCAGGAGAATGGCGTGAACCCAGGAGGCGGAGCTTGCAGTGATCTGAGATCGCACCACTGCACTCCAGCCTGGGCAAAAGAGGGAGACTCCATCTCAAAAAAAAAAAAAACAAAAAAAATGAGAATTTTATTTGATGGCTTACCTCTTTAACAGTGAACATTTCACCTTGCGCACCTGCTGCATGCAAAATCTTCAAAAGCGGCAGTTTTGGTCGTACCTGATATAAACATAAAATAAATGTGCTATTTACATTTCAAGTAGGTTTCTGAAACTATGGAACAAGAGAACCTCTTTAAACAGCTCCCCCCGCTTTTGTTTTTTGAGGCAAGGTCTTGCTCTGTCGCCTTGGCTGGAGTGCAGTGGTGTGATCACAGGTCACTGCAGCCTCAACCTCCCAGACTCAACTGATCCTCCCACTTCAGCCTCCAGAGTAGCTGGGACTACAGGTGCACGCCACCATATCCAGGTAATTTTTGTATTTTTTTGTAGAGAGGGGGTTTCACCATGTTTCCCTGGCTGTTCTCAAACCCCTGGGCTCAAGAGACCTGCCTACCTCCGCCTCCCGAAGTGCTGGGATTATAGGCATGACCCACCTCGCCCAGCACAACCCCCACCTCCCCTACTTTTTTTAAAAAAGAGACAAGGTCTCACTCTCTTGCCCAGCCTGGGGTGCACTGGTTGTGATCATAATTCACTGCAGCTTTGAACTCCTGGGCTCAAGTGATATCCCGCCTCAGGCTCCCAAGTAGCTAGAACTAAAGGCACACCCCACTGCATCTAGCTAATTTTTTCTTTTAGAAATGTTTTGTAGAGATACAGGTCTCACTATGTTGCCAAGGCTGGTCTCAAACACCTGGCTTCAAGTAAGCTTCCTGCCTTGACTTCTCAAAGTGCTGGGATTACAGTCATGAGACAGCTAAACTTTTTAAAAATTAAAAAAAAAAAAAACCAAAAAACTAGAAATACCGAAAATGATTTACCTGATTGATTTGTCCAGGAGAGATCCTGCAAGCACTGTCAGATGTTGAACACTGAGCAGAGGTGGAAAATGATGTCATTTTGGTAGTGAAGAAACTGCAGTCTGTTGGTAAAACTAAATAGAAAAAAAAATTTATAACATCTATTCTAATGCAGAAAATTCCCTATTTAGCATTCACACAAAGGCAACCAGCAGAAGTAAAAGACACATATGACACATATAATGGAGCACCGTACACAAATGCTGTATACCCTTGCTGAGGTTCTGCATATCTTCTGACTACTTTCTAGTTCTGATTTAATTAAGAGTAAGAATCGTCCAAGCTTCTCTCAGGTGAAGGCTGAAACAGTAACAGTTTCAGGCACGCTCCAACCTCCAACTGATGTTAATCAGTAAACTGTTTTAGCTGAAAGTCAAATCATTATCTCCCCAATGGTTATCAGGTAGAGCACTCTCTAGATGCAAGACTGGGGATTTACCAAGGTAAGTCACAGGTTTTAAGATTCCAACAGGACTTCTAGGAAAACCTCTACAACATGTTGGAACATGTCTTGACAAAGGACCATAGAAAGTTAACTAAGAGTCAACATTTTAAGTACCAGTTAAAACAGCTTGTAAATGTACCAACCCCAGAAAAAAACACAGCAATTACAAACCTACAAAATGGGTTAAACCGAGATGGACATATACCATCAAAGAAAAGATGTAGCATGAAGTGAAATACAGAGTAAAGTTCAATGAAAATCTTTCACCTACCTTTTATCCTTAAAAAAACAAAAGCTACAGAGAAGGAAGATAGATTGTTTATTTATTTATTTATTTTGAGACACAGTCTCGCTGTCCCCCAGGCTGAAGCGCAATGGCGCAATCTCGGCTCACTGTAACCTCTGCTTCCCAGGTTCAAGCGATTCTCCTGCCTCAGCCTCCTGAGTAGCTGGGATTACAGGCACACGCCACCACGCCCAGCTCATTATTGTATTTTTAGTAGAGACGGGGTTTCACCCTGTTGGTCAGGCTGGTCTCAAATTCCTGACCTCGTGATCCGCCCACCTCAGCCTCCCAAAGTGCTGGGATTACAGGCGTGAGCCACCATGCCCAGCCGGAAAATAGATTTTTAAATAAACTTAAGTTAACCTTCATTTATGCCTTTTTCTAACAAAAGGCAACAATTATTAAAACTGATGACTAACAAGCCACATCAGGGAAAGGGTAAATGGCGACTAGAATAGGCCAGGTGCAGTGGCTCACGCCTGTAATCCTAACAGTTTGGGAGACTAAGATGGGCAGATCACCTGAGGTCAGGAGTTTGAGATGTAGGATTTAATAAATTCCTCTTCAAAGGTTTTAGCCTGTAAATTGTTAAGTACAATGAGTTCTGAGATGCTCTCCAAAAAACCAATGTATCTGTATGTTCAGCTCCCCTGTTCTTTGTTCTTCATTTAAAACTTTAAAAGTTTAACTTCCTCATTCTCTTCATCTCCTTGCCCCTCGTTTCAGTAAACAACCCCCTCCTAGCTTCTATCACCTGCTCCATCCTGAGTCACTCCTGGTCACCTCCCTTGACCTGAGTCATCCTGAGTCACCTGTTCTGTAACTGTTCTTCCCGCCATACTACTCGCCCAGCCACTCCAGCTCATACCCCTGCTCTCTTTAAAATAGCCCATCAGTATTAGCTTAGACTGTGCGGTCCAACCCTAGCCAATACGGGAACAACACAGAAGTAGGGGCTACCTGCGTCAGGGATAAGAACCCCTTCCCCTCCCTTGTTCAGGTGTGCTCTCACCATTGCTCCATCCGTGAGATGCACCCTTCCATAGAAGTAAAATTGCCTTGCTGAGAAAATTAAATTTATGTTTGAGTGATATTCATTTGCAGCTTCGAAAATTTATTTCTAACAGAGGCCAGACTAGGCAACAGGGCAAAACCCTGTCTCTACTAAAAATACAACAACTAGCTGGGCATGGCACGAGCCTGCAGTCCCAACTACTAAGGAAGCTGAGGCATGAGAATCACCTGAACTGGCAAGGTGGAGGTTGCAGTGAGCCAAGACTGTGCCACTGCACTCCAGCCTGGGTGACAAAGCGATACCCTGTCGCAAAAAAAAAAAAAAAAAAAAAAAAAAAATTTTTTTTAGGTGGAGTCTCGCTCTGTCGCCCAGGCTGGAGTGCAGTGGCATGATCTCGGCTCACTGCAAGCTCCGCCTCCTGGGTTCACACCATTCTCCTGCCTCAGCCTCCCGAGTAGCTGGGACTACAGGCGCCCACCACCACGCCCAGCTAATTTTGTGTATTTAGTAGAGACGGGGTTTCACCATGTTAGCCAGGATGGTCTTGATCTCCTGACCTCGTGATCCGCCTGCCTCAGCCTCCCAAAGTGCTGGGATTACAGGCATGAGCCACCACGTCTGGACAAAAAAAAATTTTTTTAAGACTATCAGCCGGGCACGCTGGCCCATGCCTGTAATCCCAGCACTTTGGGAGGCTGAGGAAGGTGGATCACCTGAGGTCAGGAGTTCAACACCAGCCTGGCCAACATGGTGAAACCCCGTCTCTACTAAAGCTCCAAAAATTAGGCGAGCGTGGTGGCACATGCATGTAATCCCAGCTACTCAGGAGGCTGAGGCAGGAGAATCACTTGAACCTGGGAGGCGGAGGTTGCAGTGAGCTGAGATCGCACCATTGCACTCCAACCTGGGTTACAAGAGTGAAACTCCATCTCAAAAAAAAAAAAAAAAGACAATCAGTAAATACACTGGCTGAAGATAACAAGATCCCTCATGCTTCTGAAAAGGCTTATAGCTGTAATCAAGTATAAATTCCTCCCTCTCCCATTACCTTACTTTGCTATAAAATAAGTCAAATAGGAAACAAGCACAATTTAAAATTCAGAAGTGGGCCAGGCATGGTGGCTCACGCCTATAATCTCAGCACTTTGGGATTGTACTCCCCAGATGAGGCAGGCAGATCATGAGGTCAAGAGATCAAGACTATCCTGGCCAAAATGGTGAAACCGTCTCTACTAAAAATACAAAAATTAGCCAGGTGTGGTGGCACACGCCTGTAGTCCCAACTACTCGGGAGGCTGAGACAGGAGAATCGCCTGAACTTGGGAAGCGGAGGTTGCAGTGAGCCGAGATCGTGCCACTGCACTACAGCCTGGTGACAGAGCAAGATTGTTTCAAAAAAAAAAAAAAAATTTAAAACCTGGCTTTTAATGGGTGGCTATTGATCTCATCACCTACTTCCTCATTTGCTTTTTTTGTGTGTGTGTGATGGAGTCTCACTCTGTCACTCAGGCTGGAGTGCAGTGGCACAATCACAGCTCACTGCAGCCTTTCAACCTCCTGGGCTCAAGCAGTCCTCCCACCTCAGCCTCCCAAGTAGTTGGGACTACAGGTGCATGCCACCATGCCCAGCTAATTTATTTTTTGTAGAGACGGGGTCTTGCTATGTTGCCCAGGCTGGTCTCAAACTCCTGGGCTCAAGTGATCCTCCTGCTTCAGCCTCCCAAAGTGCTGTAATCCCTGGGATTACAGGCATGGGCCACCACTCCTAGCCTGCCCTCTAATTCTTATCCTTCTTTTTGTCTATGCTCAAATGACAGTTTGTCAACAAGGCCTCATATGAACACCCATTTTTAAAACTAAAACTCCCAACCGCTTGTATTCCCTATCTCCTTCCCTGCTTTATTTTTCCCTACCAACCTTTTTACCAACCAAAACACTACATATTTTAATTATTTATTATGTAAAATATAAGCTACAAGTGGACAGGAATTTGTAACTGTCTATTTATACATTTCCAGTGTCTAAATCTGACAACTACATACATGGTAGAGCAACATGGTAGATAGAAACATTAATTATAATGTGCAGACCGTTTCCAAAAATGGCTCCCAATGAACCACGCTCCCTAACTGGCCCTATGACTTAATAAATAGAATGCAGCAGGTGATAATGTGACAATTCCAGGCCTGGCAGGCTCATGTTTTGTACTTTTGGAGGTGCTTGAAATCTGGCTACTCTACTGGAGACTACACAAAAAGGCTACAAGGAGAGGGAGGTGCAGTTGCCCAGCTGAGCCCAGACTCTTAGCCATACCCTCCAAAGCACCACACATCTTCCAGCCCCAGTTGCCACCTGACTACAACAAAGCACTTACTCAACGGTCTCGAGGTGTCCTTAAAAAAAAGAAAGAAAACAAAACAAAGCATCACACACGTTCCAGCCTCAGCTGCACCTGACTTAACAGCTGCATGACAAACCACAAAACCACAAGAACTATCCAACTCAGCCTATCATCCCACTGAATGAAAAATAAATAAAATGACTGTTTCAACTCACTAAGTTTTGGGGTGGTTTATTCCATAGCATTAGATAATTGAAACAAATGGTAAGGACTCATCAAGCCTATTATGTACCAGGCATACATATAAACCCATTTAATACCAAAACAGCCCTATTATGTAGCTATTATCCTTATTTTACAGATCAGGAAAGAGAAACAGAAGTTATTTGTCCAAGATCACCCAATGAGTAAGTTGTTGGAGTCAAGATTTCAAACTCAGACAAGCACTAACATCCCCGTTTAGCAGCATTTTTTCCCATTAGACCTCAAGTACACAGAATTAATCATAACTCTTTTATTCAAGACATATGCTGATTATTCATCCACACATGGCCCATTTTACTTATTTTTACCTTTTTATTTTCATAATTTTTTTGAGACAGGGTATTGTTCTGTCACCCAGGCTGGAGTACAGTGGCACAAACATAGCTCACTGCCACCTCGACCTCCTGGGCTCAAGTAATCCTCCCACCTCAGTCTCCTGATTATCTGGGACTACAGGCATGCGCCACCATTCCTGGCTAATTTTTTTATTTTTTGTAGAGACAGGATTTTGCTATGTTGCCCAGGCTAGTCTCAAACTCTTGGCCTCAAGTGATTCTCTCAACGAAAGTGTTGGGATTACAGGCATGAGCCACCACACCTGGCCTGGATTATTTTTAACGCAATAATCTTCCACAAACTAAGACTCTGATCATAACCTATATTTAACGATAATATCCCCCATCCCATTTTGCTGCCTTCCTGCAATAATAATCATCCTGAACCCTATTGTTTTCATTTCCCTTGCTTTCCTTTTTATACATTTTACTGCATCAAAATGGATTCCTAAAAAGTATTTTTAGTTTAGTTGCTCTTAATTATTAAAAAAAAAAAAAAGCAGGGATGTTGCATGTAATTTGGGAAATTTTGTTCCACTAACATAGATTAATTCCTACTGTCATATCAAAATTCATTTTTTTTTTTTTTTTTTTGAGATGGAGTCTCGCTCTGTCGCACAGGCTGGAGTGCAGTGGCGAGATCTCCCCTCACTGCAGGCTCCACCCCCCGGGGTTCATGCCATTCTTCTGCCTCAGCCTCCCGCGTAGCTGGGACTACAGGCGTCCACCACCTCGCCTGGCTAATTTTTTGTATTTTTAGTAGAGACGGGGTTTCACCATGTTAGCCAGGATGGTCTCGATCTCCTGACCTCGTGATCCGCCCGCCTCGGCCTCCCAAAGTGCTGGGATTACAGGCATAAGCCACCGCGCCCAGCCTAAAATGGTAGTTCTTTCTTATCTCTTAGTTTTTCGTTTATATTTTTCTCTTTCTTTGTTCTAGATTTTCTCCTTCTAGAATTCTAATTCATTCCTCAGTTGTATCCGTTCTGTTATTTATTCCATCTGTGATTCCATAACATTACAGATGGAATAAATTACAGAATAGATATAGATGTTTTGAGACAAGGTCTCACTCTGTCGCCCAGGCTGGACTGCAGTGCCGTGATCATGGCTTACTGCAACCTCAACCTCCCCAGCTCAAGCAAGCCTCCCACCTTAGCCTCTGGAGTAGCTGGGACTACAGGCGTGTACCACCTAATCCAGCTAGTTTTTTTAATGTTCCCCAGGCTAGTCTCAAATTCTGAGCTAAAGCAATCCTTTTCAGCCTCCCAAAGTGCTGGGATTACAGGCATGAGCCACCATGCCAGGCCAATGTTCTTTAATCCAACCACTGTATTTTTCTTTTTCATATACATATATTTTTTGAGACGGAGTTTCGCTCTTGTTGCCCAGGTTGGAGTGCAATGGAGCGATCCTGGTCCACCGCAACCTCCACCTCCTGGGTTCAAACGATTCTCCTGCCTCAGCCTCCCGAGTAGCTAGGATTACAGGCATGCACCATCACGCCCAGCTAACTTTAACTTTATATTTTTAGTAGAGACGCGGTTTCTTTTTGTTGGTCAGGCTGGTCTCGAACTCCCAACCAGGTGATCCGCCCACCTTGGCCCAGCCTGCCAAAAGCATTTTAAAAAGTAAAAAAATCCTATAGTGTCAGGCCCTGCTCAACAGCTTGCTATTGCTGTAAAGATAAACACGTGGTCTATCCCCTCAGCACATTTTCACTCTTATCTTGCACTGTTTAGTCGTATCTTGAGCCTCAGCCACCCTGATCTTTTAGTTTCTCAAACAGGGCCTTTGCACAAATCGTCCCTTCATTTGGAGCACTGTGAGTTTTGTACAAAACTGATTCATCCTAAACCTTCAAGTCTCAGGTTAAATGTCACCTCTTCAACAGTCATCACGAGATTCCAGGCCAGAAGCAGTGGCTCACACCTGTAATCCCAGCACTTTGGGAGGCCAAGGCAGGCAGATTGAGGCCAGGAGTTCAAGACCAGCCTGGCCAACATAATGAAAACCTCTCTCTACTGAAAATACAAAAATTAGCTGGGCGTGGTGGCACAACGCCTGTAATCCAGCTACTTGCGTGGCTGCGGCAGAAGAATAGCTTGAACCCAGAAGGCAGAGGTTGCAGTGAGCCAAGATCATACCACTTCACTCCAGTGGCAGGGGTAGGGGATGCTAAAGCCATCTGAGTGAAAGGTTGGGGTGGAAAGAAAACACGTGGAGTAGGCTGACCATTCCACCATCCCCAACCTTATCACTAAAAGAGGGTCATTCACACACCATATACTACTTGATTATGAAGCAACAAGAAACTAGCACAACACCTATTAAGTATTCCTGACCAAAAGATAAATAATCCAAATCTAGACCTACCTACTAACTGCAAGTTACTAGGGAAAATGGAGAGCAAGCAGTTAATAAGTCAAATCCAGAACGTAGGTGTTCTACAGGACCTGGGACGGCAGGGAAGATTAAAGTGGGAAGATTAAACTGGGAAGATTAAATCTTTAATTAAAGATTAACGATTGTTATAGAATCTTAAAAAACCAACTGCAGCCGGTGGCCTGTGCCTGTAGTCCCAGCTATTCCGGAGGGCTGAGGCAGGAGGATCCCTAGAGTCCAGGAGTTTCAGGCTGTAGTGTGCAATGATCACACCTGTGAATAGCCACTGCACTGCAGCCTGAGCACACAGTGAGACCTCATCTCTTTTTTTGAGACAGGCTCTCGCGCTGTCGCCTAAGCTAGAGTGCAGTAGCTCCATCCCGGCTTGCTGCAGCCTTTACCTCCTGGGATCAAGCAATCCTCCCACCTCAGTCTCTTGGGTAGCTGGGACTGGAAGCTCGCTCTATGACACTGATTTTTTTATTTTTTGCAGAGATGGGGCTCAGTTTGTTGCCTAGGCTGGTGTCGAACTCCGAGACTCAAGCAAACCTGCCCCCTTGGCCTCCCAAAGTGCTGGGATTAAAGGTGTGAGCCACTGGGCCTGGCCGAAATCCCATCTATTAAAAAAAAAATGTATGAGGAGAGAGAAGACTAAATCTAAACTGAGATACAGTAATACTTAACACCAAGAGGTTCCAAGTATCTTTGACAGATACTAGTTCCACGTGCCAACAGCACAGAGCTGCAGCATTTTCTCCGGGTGTTGCTTTTAAACTGTGGTTTTCGGCCGGGCACGGTGGCTCACGCCTGTAATCCCAACACTTTCGGAGGCCGAGGTGGGCGGATCACCTGAGGTCTGGAGTTCGAGAACAGCCTGGCCAACCTGGTGAAACCTCATCTCTAATAAAACACAAAATTAGCCAGGCGTGGTGGCGCACACCTGTAATCCCAGCGACCCGGGAGGCTGAGGCAGAAGAATCACTTGAACCCGTGAGGCAGAAGTTGCAGTGAGCCAAGATCGCGCCACTGCACGCCAGCCTGGGCAAAAAGAGCGAAACTCCACTCAAAAAAAACAAAAACAAAACAAAAACACAACCAAAAAAACCTGTGGTTTTCAAGCTTTAAGGTATACAAAAATCACTGGGAGGTGTGCTCATTAAAATATATTTCTCTGAGCCCCATCTCGATACTGTCTGTAGGTTTCAGTGTGGCCCCAAAACGAACATTTTTTCTTTTTTTTTTTTTGAGACGGAATCTCCCTCTGTAGCCCAAGCTGGAGTGCAGTGGCGCGATCTCGACTCACTGCAACCCCCGCCCACGGATTCAAGTGATTCTCCTGCCTCAGCCTCCCGAGTAGCTAGGATTACAGGCATGCGCCACCACACACATCTAATATTTTTGTATTTTTACTAGAGACGGGGTTTCACCAGGTTGGCCAGGTTGGTCTCGAACTCCTGTCCTCAGGTAGATCCACCCACCTCGGCCTCCTGAAGTGCTGGGATTACAGGCGTGAGCCACCGCGCCAAGCCAAAACAAGCATTTTCAAACAAGCACTCAAGTGCCTCTAAGGTAGACTGTCCGCAGACCTAAAAACTAACTTAAAAACTTAAGACACGTCAATGTCATTCTACCCGGTTCCCTCTCTCCCACCTCCTTTCTCCAAATTGCCTCAACAGTCCTCAAATGTTGTGTCCAGTTAAACTCAATCCAACTACGTCGACTTTAGGTTTGTCACCTGTTGGCCAAAGTTACTTCACGTCACCCCACCTCCACTTTTATCTTCCGCGAGCCCTCATCCCACAACTCTTCCCCTCCCCCCGAGCCCTTCTTCCGCCTGGCGCGGCCTTCCCCACGCCGCCCGACCCACCTCTCAAGCTCCTCCCGCCCGCTACCCGCACAACTGGCGGTACGGCCGCCTGCTCCTCACTCTCCAGCTCCCGCTCCCGGCACCCCGCCGACGAAGGCCAAGAGCCACACCTTACGGCAGCTCCATGAGTCGCTCCCCCGCCGAGCCCGGGTGGGGGGAGGGGTGGCAGTCACAGATCCTAGGGCCTCGGCAGCATTTTGAAATGGCGAGTAATGAAGCCGCAACTTCCGGCCTCCCACACGGCCTCACACGAGGGCTTCCGGTGAGGCCTCCGGAAACCATAGATGGAGCAATGGGAGGACTAGAGAGCTAGAAAGGCTGAGCTCACTACCATAGAGTAGATCCTAGTCCGGGGAGAGAGTCGTGGGGCCCGAACGGTTGAAAGTCGTCAGATTTGAAGAGATAATAAGTGAGGGACTTGCAGGGTCTTGTGATATTTACAGACGTGTATTAGGAGATCAGAAAACAGAGAAGAGGAAGAGCTAAGGTCATAATCACAGGCTGCCTTCAGCTCTTCGGAAAAACTACGCTTCCTCTGCCATTCCCCAGTCCTCACCCTTACTCCCCAAGGGTGGTAGGGAAGGGAAACGGAGCGATGGCGGCACTAGGGTGGCAAGGAAGCTTGAAGCCATGTCAAATAAATAGTTGAAAGCACCAGCCGCTGTGGCTCACGCCTGTAATCCCAGCACTTTGGGAGGCCTAAGGCAGGCGGATCACCTGAGGTCAGGAGTTCGAGACCAGTCTGACCAATATGGTGAAACCCTGTTTCTACTAAAAATACAAAATTAGTCGGGTGTGGTGGCGCATGCCTGTAATCCCAGCTACTCAGGAGAATCGTTTGAACTTGGGAGGCGGAGGTTGCAGTGAGCCGAGATAGCGCCATTCCAGCCTGGGCAACAAGAGCGAAACTCCTCAAAAAAAAAAAAAAAAAAGAAAAAGAAATAGTTGAAGGCTCAAGGGAGTTTTTAACCTGCATATAAACGAGGGAGGCCGGGCGCAGTGGCTCTCCCCTGTAATCCCAGCGCACTTTGGGAGGCCGAGGCGGGCGGATCACCTGAGGTCAGCAGTTCGAGACCATCCTGCCCAACATGGCGAAACCCCCGTTTCTACTAAAAATACAAAAAATTAGCGGGGCATGGTGGCGGTCACCTGTAATCCCAGCTACTTAGGAGGCCGAGGCAGGAGAATCGTTTGAACCCGGGTGGCGGAGGTTGCAGTGAGCCGAGATAGCGCCATTGCACTCCAGCCTGGGCGACAAGAGC
Organism: Homo sapiens; assembly: GCF_000001405.40. Lineage (NCBI taxonomy): Eukaryota > Metazoa > Chordata > Mammalia > Primates > Hominidae > Homo > Homo sapiens. Next base: position 204,515,357 of record NC_000001.11, on the reverse strand, counting down.
GAAACTGCATCTCAAAAAAAAAAAAAAAAAAAAAGAGGGAAAGGGTTGAGCATAGAAATTGGAAGCTGTCTTCAAATAACTGAATAGTATAATATTGGAAATAACGGAGCCTTATTCTCTTCTCCAAAGTGCAGAACTAAAACCAATAGAAATTACAAGGCAGTATTTTTAAGCTCAGAAAATCCTCTAACATTTAGAGTTGTTCTGAAATAAATGAAATTAGGTATTTGGGGGAAGTAATGTCATTTGAAGACAGCCTGCCTGAGAGGTTTGTTGAAAGCTCTTCTATATTAGGAAACATTAAAACTGGCTGTGTAACCCAAGAAAGCTCCATCTCAGTGTTCTTTGCACCTGTCTTTTAGCATTTACCACGTATTTTTTTTTTAGTTATTTGTGTATATACCATTCTTATCTCTCCCAATAAGCAACAACAAAACCTGGCTCCCAATGCTAGATACAGACCCATGCAAAAGAACACAGGGCAGTAACCTTCCTTAAATTTGTACATTCCGCTTTGTTCTACTTCTAGCATAACCTCCTGCATAGCTGGGAGATCCAGGGTTCCATTAAGGAGCTGAAGAATTAACTTCTTTTTCATAGAAATCTGCAACCACCTCACTCACAAAAAAAAAAAAAAAAAGGTCAAGGGTGCTTTTTTAGGTGAACCACTGTCAACTATTTCCCCTGTCCTTTTGTGCAATTAGTATTTTTTAAAACTTTCAACAGGAATTTTTTTTTTGTAACTTTTAAATAGCATCTGGTTAGTTTGGATCCTTTCCTAATGTCTCCTGGAGCCTTGGAATATGATCTGTTCATGCAATTCAGTTTGTGTGAGATCAACAGGTATTTGTTGAGGCCAGGTGCAGTGGCTCACACCTGTAATCCCAACCCTTTGGGAGGCCAAGGTGGGAGGATCGTTTAAGCCCAGGAGTTCAAGACCAGCCTGGGCAAGAAAGCGAGAACACCATCTCTACAAAAAAAAAAAAAAAAAAAAAAAAAAAAAAATTAATTAGCTGAGCATCCTACTTGTGCCAAGCACCAATCTAGAGGATTCCAAAACAAGACCTGAAATCTGTCTAGTGGAGGAATCAGACTGTCCAGGTAAAAAGAATGTGGTAAGTGCAATGATTGATGAGCTGCAGTTAACCTCCTCTAGGTTAAGAGAGATAAGCCTTTTCAATTTGGGCAAAATATTGACCAACATCTTTAATTCGTCTTCATTTAAAATCTCGAGGGCCCGGCGCAGTGGCTTATGCCTGTAATCCCAGCACTTTGGGAGGTCGAGGCAGGTGGATCACGTGAGGTCAGAAGTTCGAGACTAGCCTGGCCAACATGGTAAAACACTGTCTAAAGATACAAAAAAGATTAGCCGGGTGCAGTGGTAGGCGCCTATAATCCCAGCTACTCGGGAGGCTGAGGGAGGAGAATTGCTTGAACCCGGAGGAGGAGATTGCAGTGAGTCGAGATTGCTCCACTGCACTCTAGCCTGGGTGATGGAGCCAGACTCTATCTCAGTCAATCAAAAAAAACAAAACGTTGATAAATATGTTGACGAGGCCATGGTGAAGAATAGAGTTTTTCCCATCGTGGTTGACACTGATTTGTGAGTAATTGCTCATCTTCTAATTTTTTTAAAAAAATAGACACAGGGTCTTACTATGTCGCCCAGTCTGGTCTTGAACTCCTGGCCTCAAGTGATCCTCCCCCACACCTTGGCCTCCCAAAGTGTTAGGATTACAGGTGTAATCTTATAATCCTACAGGTGGCACCCGCCAGCACGCCCAGCTAATTCTATGTGTGTGGTTATTTTGTTTTGTTTTGTTTTGTTTTGTTTTTGAGACGGAGTTCCCTTCTGTTGCCAGGCTGGAGTGCAGTGGCACGATCTCAGCTCGCTGCATTCTCCGCCTCCCAGATTCAAACGATTCTCCTGCCTCACCCTCCCAAATTGCTGGGATTACAGGCGCGTGCCACTACGCTCCAGCGTGGGCGACAGAGGAAGACTCCATCTCAAAAAAAAAAAAAAGAAGAAATGAAAGAAAGAAATGAAATTGGAAATTGGCTTAAAAACTCAACTGAGTGATCACCACTTCCTTCTTTAAGAACTATGCTCACAAACCATTGATTCGAATAAAAAGACAGGAAATCTGGGTTCTAGTCTAGCTATTTGTAGAAAACAGAAGAAGTTACACAGGTTTCCGGTCTTCAGTTCCCTAATCTGTAAAACAAAATGGCTGAATTCAGCCATTTCTTATGGCCCTTCTAGTTTTAAAAAAATTAAAAGTCAGTATTATTGGTCTATAGCCTTTCTGAAAAAAAAATATAATTAATGACTTTATACATATCAAAAGGTATAAAGAATATGATCTCCCAGCTGGGCGCAGTGGCTCAGGCCTGTAATCCCAGCACTTTGGGATGCTGAGGCGGACGGATCACCTGGGGTCGGGAGTTCAAGACCAGCCTGCCCAACATGGCAAAACCCCATCTCTACTAAAAATACAAAACAATTAGCCGGGTGTGGTGGTGCATGCCTGTAATCCCAGCTACTCGGGAGGCTGAGGCAGGAGAATCGCTCCAACCCTGGAGGCGGAGGTTGCAGTGAGCTGAGATGGCGCCATTGCACTCCACCCTGGAAAACATAGTGAGACTCTGTCTCAAAAAAAAAAAAAAAAAGAATATGATGTCCCTTTTCCCATTCCTCTTCCTAAGAACAATACACATACAAAGAAGTTCCCTGTAGTCACCTCTATGGTATCTCCTTTCTTCATCCTCTGGGAACCACTATCTTGAATTTGGTATGTACCCCTGCCATGCATTTCTTTAGACTTTTAGAGTTTATATGTGTATATATTCCTTAAAAATCTGTTTATGCTTTTAAAATTTTTATAAATGGCATCAAACTATATGTGGTCTACTGCAACTTACATTTTTGCTCAGCATTGTGAAGTTCAGTGCTGTTAAACCGTGTAGTTATGGTTAATTTAATTTTGTTGTTGTTCGAGACAGAGTCTTGCTCCGTCACCCAGGCTGGAGTGCAGTGGCGCAATCTTGGCTCACTGCAATCTCCACCTCCAGGGTTCAAGCAGTTCTCCTGCCTCAGCCTCCGGAGTAGATGGGATTACAGGCACGCGCCACCACGCCAAGCTATATTTTGTATTCTTAGTAGAGACAGGGTTTCACCATGTTGGCCAGGCTGGTCTCAAACTCTTGACCTCGTGATCCACCCGCCTCAGCCTCCCAAAGTGCTGGCATGACAGGTGTGAGCCACCGCACCTGGCCCTGGTTAATTCATTTTTAATGTTTTAACGTTGTTCTACAGTAACATACTGAATTGTATAAATGTATAATGAATTGTTGTATAGTAATTGTATTAGTTTTCTAGAGTTGCCATAACAAAGTACCACTGAATGGCTTAAACAGAAATTTATTTTCTCATAGTTCTGGAAGCTGGAAGTTGAAGATCAAGTTGTTAGCAAGTTAGGTTTCTCCTGATGCCCTCTTTCCTTGGCTTGATAAATATGTTGACTAGGCCATGGTGAAGAATAGAGTTTTTCCTATCATGGTTGACACTGATTTGTGAGTAATTGCTCATCTTCTAATTTTTTTAAAAAAATAGACACAGGGTCTTACTATGTTGCCCAATCTGGTCTTGAACTCCTGGCCTCAAGTGATCCTCCCCACTTGGCCTCCCAAAGTGTTAGGATTATAGGTATAATCTTGTAATCCTACAGGTGGCACCCACCAGGATGCCCAGCTAATTTTTTGTTTGTGGTTGTTTTGCTTTGTTTTGTTTTGTTTTGTTTTTGAGGTGGAGTTCCCCTCTGTTGCCAGGCTGGAGTGCAGCCTGTCTTTTCACTGTGTCCTTGTGTGGTTGCCCATTGTCTGTATGTTGTCTATATCCTAATCCCCTCTTCTTATGAGGACACTAATCATATTGGGCCCATCCATGTGACCTCATTTTACCTTAATCACCTCTTTAAAGGCCCTGTCTCCAAATACATTCCCATTCTGAAGTACTGGGGATGGTGTTCAACATGATGTTTGAGAGGGACACATTCAGCCCATAATAGTAACGGATGCACCACAATTTTTATTCATCTCCTCCTTTAATAAATACTTAGGCATTATTCAATCGTTTGCCGTTGCAAACAATGCTGTTATCATTCTCATGCTTATCTCCGTGTGTACTCTAGAGGAAATGATTGAGTCACAGACTATATATGTTGTCCACCCTATTAGACCATGCCAAAGTGCTCTCCAAAGTGATCACAGAAAAATACTCACTCCTGACAGATGTGTATAAGAATTACCTTGGCCAGGTGCAGTGGTTCACGCCTGTAATCCCAGCACTTTGGGAGGCCGAGGCGGGCGGATCACCTGAGGTCAGGAGTTTGAGACCAGCCTGGCCAACACGGTGAAACCCTGTCTCTACTAAAAATACAAAAATTAGCTGGGCATGGTGGTGAGTGCCTGTAGTCCCAGCTACTCGGGAGGCTGAGGCAAGAGAATCGCTTGAACCCGGGAGGCGGAGGTTGCAGTGAGCTGAGATCCCGCCACTGCACTCCAGCCTGGTGACAGAGTGAGACTCTGTCAAAAAAAAGAATTATCTTTGCATATGTTTGCCAGTACTTGGCATTTTCAAATTATAAAAAACAATCTGATAGATGCAAAATGGTTTCTCATGGTGGTTTGTTTTATAGGTCCATGATTATTAGTAAGGTTGAGCACTTTTTCATATTTATCGACTTAAGGTTCCTTTTTTTTTTTTTTTTTGAGACAGAGTCTCGCTCTGTCACCCAGGCTGGAGTGCAGTGGCGGGATCTCGGCTCACTGCAAACTCTGCCTCCTGAATTCACGCCATTCTCCTGCCTCAGCCTCCTGAGCAGCTGGGACTACAGGCACCCGCCACGGTGCCTGGCTAATTTTTTGTATTTTTAGTAGAGATGGGGTTTCACCGTGTTAGCCAGGATGGTCTCAATCTCCTGACCTTGTGATCTGCCTGCCTTGGCTTCCCAAAGTGCTAGAATTACAGGCATGAGCCACCACACCCCGCTGACTTAAGGTTCCTATATATGAATTGCCTAATCAGACCTTTTGCCCATTTTTCTATGGGATTGTCTTTTACTTTTTTTTTTTTTTTGAGACAGAGTCTTGCTCTGTCGCCCAGGCTAGAGTGGAGTGGCACAATCTCGGCTCACTGCAACCTCTGCCTCCTGGGTTCAAGCAATTCTTCTGCCTCAGCCTCCCAAGTAGCTGGTACTACAGGTGCCCGCCACCATGCCTGGCTAATTTTTTGTATTTTTAGTAGAGACAGGGTTTCACTGTGTTAGCCAGGTTGGTCTTGATCTCCTGACCTCAGGTGATCCACCCACCTTGGCCTCCCAAAGTGCTGGGATAATAGGCGTGAGCCACCACGGTAGGCTTGTCTTTTACTTATTGATTTGTAGGAGTTTTCCATATAATCTGGATATTAATCCTTCTTGGTTATATATGTTATAAATAATGACTTCACGTATGTAGCTTTTCACTTTTTAAACATTGTCTTTGATTAACAATTTTTAATGAAATAAAATTTGTTAATTTTCTTATGTTTTGTGCTTTTTAAAAATTTATTATGTAAGAGATTCTTCCCCATCTCTGGGTCATAAAGATACTCTCATATATTTTCTTCTAAAAGTTCCAAAGATTTGTTTTTCTTTTTTCAAGGGTCCAAAGGGCCAGCTAGAAAGATTTGCTTTTCACACTTAGGGCCAGCTAGAAAGATTTGCTTTTCACACTTAGGGCATGTTGTAACATGCAGATCCAACATACAGTGCCCTGACTGGAGCACAGTGACTCCGTCCTGGCTCACTGCAGTCTCCACCTCCTGGGCCCAAGCGATTCTCCCACCTCAGCCTCCTAAGTAGCTGGAACTATAGGCTCACGCCACCACACCCGGCTAGTTTTTAATTTTTGTATTTTTTTGTAGAGAGGGAGTTTCACCACATTGCCCAAGCTGATCTTGAACTCCTGGGCAAGAGCGATCCTCCCACCTCAGCCTCTCCAGTAGCAGGAATCACAGCCAGGTGCCACCACGCCCAGTTTATTGATTGATTATGTGGGGGGAGGGTGGCGGCAGGAGGGGGCAGGTCTCGCTATGTTGTCTAGGCTGCTCTCGAACTCCTGGCCTCAAGCAGTCCTCCCATCTCGGCCTCCCAAAGTGCTAGGATACCGTGCCCAGCCTTAAAAATCAGCTTTATACATCTCGTTCCACTTCAATCAAATATGTTAATTCTTTGTTGAAAGGTGAATGGTGTCACAGAAGGTTGAAAGAGCAGGATCCATAGGATCTGTTCTTGTTACATCTTTGCCATTAAATCTTTATGTGCCTCCATGAATGCTTATTACATGTCAGACACTATTGCAAACAATGTCTATATACTATATTATTTAAATCTCACAGTCATCCTATTGTCCTGACACACAGAGAAATAGCTTGCTCAAGGTTACACAATGGTAGTCAGGATTCAAATAGAGCACCTAACTTCAGAACCCAGGTTTTGTATAAGCATTTATCCTTTGTTTGTTGTCTTTTTTTATCCTTTGTTTTTCAGTGCACATATATGCACCCTTTTCTTGAAAATACAAAACAAACAAAACCCTATTGATTTGAAATGTTTCCTAACTTAAAAATGTTTTCTATTTTTTTCCCAAATCCTATTCTTCCGAAACATGATTATTAATAGCTGCATAATAATTAAGGCCGTACCATAATTTATGTAGCTATTTTTCTCGTTTCTGATTAAAATGCCGTGACGATCTCTCCTGTAGTCAGATCTTTTTGTACACCCCTGATTCTTCTTTTTTTTTTTTTTTTTTTTTTTTGAGACAGAGTCTCTCCCTGTCGCCCAGGCTGGAGTGCAGTGGTGTTATCTCGGCTCACTGCAACCTCCGCCTCCCAGCTTCAAGCGATTCTCCTGACTCAGCCTCCTGAGTAGATGGGATTACAGGAGTGTGCCACCACGCCCGGCTAACTTTTTTGTATTTTTTAGTAGAGACGGGGTTTCACCATGTCGATCAGGTTGGTCTCGAACTCCTGACCTCGTGATCCGCCCTCCTGGGCCTCCCAAAGTGCTGGCATTACAGGCGTGAGCCACCGCGCCCCGTCACCTCTGATTATTTCTTCAGGACAAATTCCTAAAAGTGGAATTGCTGGACCAGAGCAATCACCCCGAAAGAGGTTAAGGATGGAATTAAGGTGAAGTAACATCAGCTAACAAAGACCTTTACTGTCCCACTCTCAAAGCTCTACCGTGGTCATTCTCAACACCAGCTCCATAGCAAAGGGCAGTGCTCAAATTACTGATGGCTACGGAAGGGAAGAACCTCCAATGCCAAGATCAAAACAATCTCTCTTCAATGCCATGTTCAGTTTTCCTGTCTCTCTAGCTTAGTAGGGCTTCTACCCCCAAGGTCGCTGCTGGTGAACTCTTCCAGAGTTTGCGCCCCTTAAAATTACTTGGATGCGCCGGGCCAATCACCGGAGGTCAGGAATTCGAGACCAGATTGGCCAACACGATGAAACCCAGTCTCTACCAAAAATACAAAAATTAGCTGGGCATGGTGGCAGGCGCCTGTAATCCCAGCTACTCGGAAGGCTGAGGCAGGAGAATTGCTTGAACCCGGGAGGTGGAGGTTGCAGTGAGCCGAGAGATCGTGCCATTGCACGCCAGCCTGGGCGACAGAGGGAGGCTCCGTCTCAAAAAAAACAAAAACAAAAACAAAAAAACAACTTGGATGCTTTCAGGCGACCTATTGGATAACCTCACCATCCTTCCTTTCTCTCACTTTATACCGCACAGTGCAACCCGATAGCTTCAGAACAGCATATTCATAGTCTCTTAGACAGATTCATTTTTTTCTATTATTGGATAGGTTTTAGCACTGATGCCCATTCTGTTATCAATGGTAAAATAGATCGAAGGTTATTACAGCACTTCAAAAGTGACACCTCGCCATTCTTTTAATCCTGAACCTATTTAACTACAAATAAAAAAAGCCTACCTAATCATGCTTACTAGGCGCATAAATATCTCGCAATTCTAAATTAGCTGGTGATGCTGGTGAAAGGCGCAGAATTTGGGCCTTCTGTTTTTCCTTTTACGCACGAATCACGAACTTTCTTGGCGTTAAAGCAGTCTCACAGTGTGGATGATGCAATCACTCAAGGGTCCTCATTCTTATGTAAGAAACGGCAGAACAAGCTGTTGTCTACGGGAGCCCGGATAGCTCAGTCGGTAGAGCATCAGACTTTTAATCTGAGGGTCCAGGGTTCAAGTCCCTGTTCGGGCGTCTTGTTCTCTTTTCCTCAATGAACAAATACAAATTGTACACATTATGGTGTATAACACCATGTTCTGAAATACGTATATATTGTTGAATGATTAAATCAAACTGATAAGGTTATGCATTACCTCGCATACCTTTTTTTGTGGTGAGAGCACAAGGTGCTTGCTTTTAAGTTTTTTTCTTCCTTTCTCAATTATGAGCCATCAAAAAACAAATATTTTTCTGGGAAACCACTGTGCCAGACCTCGATACTCTCCAAGAAATTAAATGACTTTTCAGTCATTTTTTTTCCTCCCTGAAAACACGTCTATCTAGCATATTCTGAACCCAGTGAAAAATGATTTGAATTCAACTTGAAATGTAAGGGTTTACGATGTCCGCTCTTGGGACTTGATGGGATAATTTAGCAGGTTAAAGTAACGAAAACTACAAACGCCCGAACAGGGACTTGAACCCTGGACCCTCAGATTAAAAGTCTGATGCTCTACCGACTGAGCTATCCGGGCGCTCCCGAAGAAAAGCTCTTTCTGTTCACTCCATATAGGTTGCTACCTTTTTTTCTTTTTTTTTTTTTTTCAGTTTTGAGATGGTGTCTTACTCTGTCGCCAGGCTGGAGTGCAGTAGCGCGATCTCGGCTCACTGCAACCACCGCCTCCCGGGTTCAAGTGATTCTCCTGCCTCAGCCTCCCGAGTAGCTGAGACTACAGGCGCGCGCTACCACTCCCAGCTAATTTTTGTATTTTTGGAAAAGACGGAGTTTCATCATGTTGGCCAGGACGGTCTCGATTTCTTGACCTCATGATCCGCCCACCTTGGCCTTCCAAAGTACTGGGATTATAGGCGTGAGCCACCGCGCCCGGCCTGCTTCCTTTTAAGTAGCTACATTTAGGTTTTAATTAGAATTAAAGGGTTTTTTTTGTTTTTTGTTTTAGCAAGATAAAGCAAAACAAATATTTTCCTTTCCTTTTCTTTTTGTTCCATTCACACATGTTCCATGAAGAACATGTGTTCTTCAGCTGTTTCATGTTTGATAAGTTACCAGTATTTACTAAACTCTCTAAAAGGAAATTAATGGTAGTAAATGACAGAAAAATGGGCAACCAAGATGAATATTCAAAATTTAGACATGGGGTTACAACCTCTCTTTCCTTCCTTCCTTCTTTCCTTCCTTCCTTTCTTCTTTTTTTTTCTTTCAATCTTTGCAGCTGTGCCAAGGAGCAACCTCTTTTTATTATACTTCTGCCTTCTATTTAGCACTTCCCTGATAAGATCTCTTAATTTTAATTATTCTACCAAACTAGATTACAACATCTCTCCCATTAATGAAAAATACATTTCCATTCATCAGATGATGTAGTTGTTAGATAAGTATTACTTAGCACAAAAGAAGGAAAGACACTTTTGATTCATGCACAGAGGAGCTAATACTATAAGAAAATAGACGTGATTGTGGAAAGGTCTGAATTAAGATTGCGGGAAAAGGAGTTTAGACCTTTAATTTAGATTGAATTTTGCCTTTCCTCCCCTTTCAGGCAAGTTGCCGTTTTCTTTTCTTTTCTTTTTTTTTTTTTTTTTTTTTGAGTCGGAGTCTTACTCAGTCGCCCAGGCTGGAATGGAGTGGCAGGATCTCGGCTCACTGCAACCTTTGCCTCCCAAGTTCAAGCAATTCTCCTGCCTCAGTCTCCCGAGTAGCTGGGATTACAGGCGCCTGCCACCACACCCGGCTAATATTTTTGAATTTTTTTAGTAGAGATGGGGTTTCACCATGTTGGCCAGGCTGGTCTTGAACTCCTGACCTCAGGTGATCCGCCTGCCTCTGCCTCCCAAAGTGCTGGGATTACAGGTGTGAACCACCGCACCGGCCTCAAGTTGCAGTTTTCAAGACAATCTCATAAGATGAATCCTCCCAAAGCAGTGTGCACCAGTGGGAGCAACATAGGGTATTAAGAATACAAATCTCCAGATCAGCCTAGTTTTTCCTAAAATCAGTTTCTTTTCTTTTCTTTTTTTTTTCTTTGAGACGGAGTCTCGCTCTTGTTGTCCAAGCTGGAGTACAATGGAGTGACCTCGGCTCACTGCAATCTCCACTTCTTCGGTTCAAGCGTTTCTCCTGCCTCAGCCTCCCGAGTAGCTGGGATTATAGGCACAAGCCACCACGCCTGGCTAAATTTTTGTATTTTTAGTAGAAATGGGGTTTCACCATGTTGGCCAGGCTGGTTTCGAACTCCGTACCTCAGGTGATCCACCCGCCTCGGCCTCCAAAAGTGCTGAGATTACAGGCATGAGCCACTGCGCCCAGCCACCTAAAATCAAATTTCATCAACCCTGACACATGGGGTGTGGAACACAAGATTATGAAATTTCAAATACTGATAAGGGAATTTATTTTAGTTTCTGGGAACTAGTGGCTTCTGAACACAATGAACAACAAAATAGCTCAGCCTCAGTTGGAGGAATTTTTCTTTCCTACAATTGTCTGATTCTTACAGAACAAAGACCAACAAACTGTGTGATCCTGAGCAGGCCTGGGTTTCCACATTTATAAAACAAGGGAAATTGATTAGATGGCCTCGAGATAACTTGTAATTCTAAAGTTTTACCATTCTGTTACTTTTTTCCATTGTGAATAAGATTAGAAGGAACAGACTCAAAATTTGCCAGAATGGAGTGATTTAATTCAACAAACATTTACTGATCGTCTATTACAGGTTAGGCTATGCGCTAGCCCTAGAGTCTGAGATGAGTAGGACATGGGTCCTGCTAACAGTCTAGGAAAGAAGACACACACAGAAACAAACAATTTCAACATAAAGTGGAGTGGCGGCAGATGAAGATGGACAGGAAAGCAGGGTTTATAAAATAAGGGTGGCTGGGCCCTTGAGTTTTCAGCAGGGAAACTGCATGATCATATTTCAGTTTAAACAGTTTAAACAAGTTAAACAGTAAAACAGTTTAAACAATGTTAGAGGTGTACTGAAGAAATTGTAATGAGCAAAACACAGACATTTATTTATTTAGACATATTTTTTTCAGCACCCACTGTGTTAGATAAGGAAAAACTGCTAGAACTGTTTCTATGAATGAGATGTGGAAATAAATTATAACACTTAAATTTTAGGGAAGGGAAATGGTGTCTATCCAGGCCTCCTTAAAAGGGCAAGAATAGATAAAGGGGTCTTCAAGTTTTTTCCTCCCCAAGGCTTTGTTACATCACACTCCCTTTCTTCCGGGATAACAAAACCTGCTGTTTAAAATTAAACTGAATGGGATTAATCAATCTAAAATTTGCTTACTCATTACCCACTGCTTCCACAGCAGTGAGCTAGGCACAGTAGGGAGGAAAACAGGAAATCTGGAAGGAATGTGGGGACTGCAAGGTGTATTTAGAGAATGGGGAATAACTTAATCTTGTTGGAGCAGAAGGAGATACAGAGGAGTAAGGTCACATTGGAGACTACACTTCCATCAGGCTAAGGCAAACGATTTTATCCTACAGGCAATGGTGAGCTATTGAAAGATCGGCTTGTTAACATTGCAAAGTCCACCCGAAATAGCATGAAATGAATCTGTTTGCTTCATTTATGTTGCATCAAAAACACCACAAGTGCCATCTTGTACTTTAGCATAAAATCTTCCTGGAGTGCTTCTTGAAGCTTCTTTATGCAGACTGTTGAACTTAATTTTCCCACTAGAGGGCAGGCTAAACTCACAGATTCTATATATTTGGTGATTCTCCTAGTTCTTAAATTTAATTTCTCCCACTATTTTTAAACTGTGTGCGTGTGGTGTGGTGAGAACACTTGAGATTACACTCTTAGCAAATTTCAAGTACACCATACATTATTAATAACTATAGTCACTGTACTGTATGTTAGATCCCCGAAATTTATTCATCTTACGACTGAAAATTTGTACTGTTTGATCAAGATCTATTTGTTTCCCTCACCTGCCAGCCCCATGGTAATCATTCTGCTGTTTCTATGAGTTTAACTTTTTTGGATTCCACATATAAGTGAAATAATATAGTATTTGTCTTTCTGTTTCTAGCTTATTTCACTTAGCATAAAGTCCTCCAGATTTGTCCATGTTGTCGCAAATGGCAGGATTTCCTTATGTATCACATTTTCTTTCTTTGTTTCTTTTTTTTTTTTCTTTAGATGGAGTTTCACCCTTGTTGTCCAGGCTGGAGTGCAGTGGCATGGTCTCAGCTCACTGCAACCTCATCCTCTGCCTCCTGGTTTCAAGTGATTTTCCTGCCTCAGCTTCCCAAGCAACTGGGACTACAGGCGCCTGCCACCACGCCCAGCTAATTTTTGTATTTTTAATGAGACAGGGTTTCATCATCATTTTGGCCAGACTGGTCTTGAACTCCTGACCTCAGGTGATCTGCCCACCTCGGCCTCCCAAAGTGCTGGGATAACAGGCATGAGCCACCGCACCCGGACCCCATATTTTTTATCCAGTCACCTGTAGACAGATACTTCTGCTGATTCCACATCTTGTCAATTGTGAATAATGCTGCGATGAACATGGAAGCACAGATCTCTCTTTAACATACTGATTTCATTTCCTTTGGATATATTCCCAGAAGTGGGATTGCTGGTTCTTACAGTAGTTCTATTTTTAATATTTTAAAGGAAACTCCATACTGTTTTCCATATGGCTGTACCAGTTTACATTCCCACCAACAGTGTACAAAGATCCCTTTTCTCCACACCCTCGACATCACTTGTAATCTTTTGACTTTTTGAGAGTAGCCACACTACCAGGTGTGAGGTGATATCTCGTTATGGTTTTGCCTTACACTTCTCTGATGATTAATGATGTCGAGCACCTTTTCATATACCTGTGGGTCATTTGTATGTCTTCTCTGGGAAAATGTTGATTGAAGTCCTTTGCACATTCAAACAAAATTCTGGTTATTTGTTTTTGTTTTGTTTTGCTATTGAGTTTTATGAGTTCCTTATATATTTTGTATGTTAATCCCTGATCAGATATATGGTTTGCAAATATTTTCTCCCGTTCTGTATGTTGCCTTTTCATTTTGTTGATCCCTACTATAATAATCTTTAAAGGGATGTTTTTTACCCTCCTTCTCATCAGAATTACTGCCTTTGGAAAAAAATCACCATCAATCTGATTACCCACTGTTTCCACAGCAGTGAGCTAGGCACAGAGGGGGAAAGTTGTGGACCCTTCCTTCCCAGAGTTCCCCAAACCAACACCAAGTCGTAGCTACCTACTCTGGGGCCCAGTCTTCTATCGCCACAGTATAGTGCATAGAGTCTTTGGAGCTGACACCATCACAAGGTACTAAGAAGATGTATAGTACAGGTTGTTTTTGTTTGTTTGTTTGTTTTGAGACAGTGTTGCAATCATAGCTTACTGTGACCTCAATCTCCTGGCTCAAGTGATTCTCTCACTTCTGCCTCCAGAGTAGCTGGGACTACAGGCATGCACCACCATGCCTGGTGAATTTTTTTTAAAAATGTTTTCGTAGAGATGGGGTCTTGGTATGTTGCCCAGGCTACTTTTATACTCCCTTAGCTCAAGGGATCCTCCTGCTTCAGCCTCACAAACTGTTGGAATTATAGGCATGAACCACCATGCCTGGCTGAGCCCAAGAATCTTACATAGCATCAAGAGCTCAGATACTGGAATAAATACTCCCTAAACAATGCAGCCCTCAAATGTCATGGATCATTGAAAAGGTGTAGGGAAGAAGTAGGACTGATTTCAAAGCCAGTAAGAGTCAAAGGATTGAAGAAGTCAATCTATACATAAAATATTTACAGAGCACCCCACCCCATCTCTAACATCCAATCATCTTTCAAAGATATTTGAATATTTTTGAAGAAAGCCTACTGAAGGATTTTAAAATAAAATTGTTATAAATACTGTCTTTCAAAATATTAGTTTTGAGTTGTATTACAGATTAGTCCTAGCCTAGAGCAGACCTATGAGAGAATATAGCACAGATAAACAGATTCTACCATCATCTCCTTCCATTGATTTCAGCCATTTGCTCCCTCACCAGTAATCTACTTATTATTACCACTGAAATCTTTTTTTTTTTTAAGATAGGACCTCAACTCTGTTGCCCAGGTTGGCATGCAGTTGTACCATCATGGCTCACTGCAGCCTCGACCTCCTGGACTCAGGTGATCCTCCCACCTCAGCCTCCTGGGTAGCTGGTAGTACAGGTACACACCACCATGCCCAGCTAATTTTTTGTGTTTTTTGTAGAGATGAGGTTTTGCCATATTGCCCAGGCTGGTCTTGAACCCCTGGGCTCAAGCAATCCACCAGCCTAGGCCTCCCATAGTGCCAGGGTTACAGGCATGAGCCATCACACCCGGTCACCACTGAAATCTTAGACTCTCAAGCTTTTCATTTTCTGGCTCAGTCACTCTGTCTTCCTGTAAACTAGATCCAGGTTTTCATCCATTCACTTATTGACCAAGAATTTATTGAGCACCAGCTTTGAATGAGGCAATGAATTAGGCCTAGAAATTCAAAGGTAAAAATAATGGAGATTCCTTGTCTTTAAGGCGCTTACAGTCCGTTGCCCTCCTCTTCTGTCCCCTCCCCAATTCAGAAAAAAGTGGACAAGCAATTATATATAACACCCATGATCAGTGTTATAATCCAAGTAGCTATTGGGTGTGTCTAGACACTCTTAGGAGGCACTCTAGGGAAACTTTGCAGAGAATTTGTTGTAGGATGTATTAGTTTGTTATTGCTGCTATAACAAATGACCACAAATTTAGTGGATTAAAGGAACACAAATTTATTATCCTACAGTTCTGCAGATCAAAAGCCCAACATGGGGTTCACTGGGCTAAAATCAAGTATCTGCAGGGTCATGTTCCTTCCTGGAGGCTCTAGGGCAGGATCTGTTTTTTGACCTTTCCAGTTTCTAGAGGCCATTCACCCCCTCCAGCTCAGGACCTCCATGCTTCAACTTTCAAGCCAGCAATGTTGCATTTTTCCAACCAGTCTTGCGTCATCACATCTCTCCCTGACTTCGGCTAGGAAAGGTTTGCAGCTTTTAAGGACTGACGTAATTAGATTGGGCCCACCTGGATAATCCAGGCTAATCTTCCACTCCCAAGGGCCTTAACTTAATCACATCCGTAAAATCCTTTTGCCTTGTAAAATAATGCAGCCATAGGTTCCAGGGATTAGGAAGTGGACATTTCCTCCTTTGGGAGGCCATTATTCTGCCTACCATGTAGAGAGACAGCTGCATAAAAGGAAGCGGGTAGAGGTGGGGATTGGAGGTAGGAGGCCCTTTCCAGGAAACCATGTGGAAGGGCCGTTAGGTGAGAATATTGTGCATTCTAGGAACTGTAGGGAGTTTCGTAAGGCCCAAGTATGAAGTTTACATTGGAATGTGGGAGGCTATTCATTCAATACATATTTATTGAATACTATGTGGTGGGTGCAGTTTGGGAGATGCAGGGATGCACAAGACAAAGTCCTTGTTCTCTGAGGCTAGAATGAAAAGCAAGGGCTGACTGTGAGAGAATTCAGAGTTTCCTTAGGAGATTGGACTTTAAGAGTTAGAGAAAGTCATGCATTAATTCATCTGCCAAAAATTTTGTGAGCACAAGTGCCAGGCATTGTTCTAGGCTCTGAGAATACAGATGTTTAAAAACCAAAGTCAAAAAATGCCATGTCCTACATGTTAGTTGATTTTAAGCAGGAGAAGCAGATGTTTGCTTTGGAAACATCACCCTGGCTGGGTTACTTGAGAAAAGATTGGAAGGGGAATAAGATTAGAGGTAGCTCAGTCCCTTTCCTCCCGCTTCTTGAAGATTCACAGCCTTTGCTGAGCTTCACTTCCGTCCTTGAGGACTTCCTCTTTTGTCAGGAGCCCTCTTTTCCTTTTATGCCTCTACTGTACCTATCTTGGAAACCTGACCTCATGTTCTACACCTGGGCTTCCAAGTGCTGCAGAAGAAAATGATGAAAACATTCGGATGTTTTTATTCATAGCCACAACATATTAGAGTATCCAATGCCAGCTGTATCTTCAACTCTGCTGACAATTCTCTCTCTCTCTCCTCTCTCTGGAGCTACCACTCTCATTCCTTATTCCTTTCTATTTTAACCTTAACCACTTTTTTTTTTTGAGATGGAGTTTCACTCTTGTTGCCCAGCCTGGAGTACAATGGCGCGATCTCGGCTCACCGCAACCTCTGCCTCCCTGGTTCAAGCGATTCTCCTGCCTTAGCTTCCCGAGTAGCTGGTATTACAGGCATGCGCCACCACGCCCAGCTATTTTTGTATCTTTAGTAGAGACGGGGTTTCTCCATGTTGGTCAGGCTAGTCTGGAACTCCCGACCTTAGGTGATGCGTCCACCTCGGCCTCCCAAAGTTCTGGGATTATAGGCGTGAGCCACCGTGCCCAGCAACCTTAACCACTTTCTTTAAGCCTTTAACCTCATCTTGAGCCTTTCTCTCTCAGCAGATTGCTTAGAGACTACAAGGCAGCAACTAGTCCTCTCAACATCTAGTCTCAAGTTCTAGTCTCTTTACCAGTCTACAGATGCCTCTGCTTTTGTACAGCCTTCCTCTCAAAGATATCAGAGGCAGCTCCACCCCATATACCTGGGTCCCAACTCCCTCCTATTCATGATCTCGCTCTCCTTGGTCTTACTCTTCAGCATATGAAAATGCTTAAGCCTTTCTTATCCTAAAAAGAAAAAACAAAAGTCTCCCCTTTGATCCTGCATTCCCCTCTACCCACTGCCTTATATTTCTCCTTGTCTTAAATTGCCAAGCTTCTAGAAAAAGCATGTGTCTTTTATTCCAGATCCAGGTTCATTCATTCACTTAGTGACCAATAATTTATTGAGCACCAGCTTTGAATCAGGGAATGAATTAGGCCTAGAATCCACTGGAGGCATTTTCTAGCCTACCCTCCTGGAGGTTCCTGCTGCACTGGTTATCCAGTCATTCTCTTCTGAGATTCTCCCACCCTAGTTTCTGACACTCTGTGGCCTCCAGTTTTTCTCTTACCTCTCTGGTTGTTTCTTCTTTCCTCCTTATGCCCATCTGGACGACCTCATACAGGCTTATAACTTCACTGACTACCCATAACCTACAGAATCCAAAGCTGCTATCACTTGTTCACACCCCAATATGAGTTTAGTTTCATAAGTTTGCTGTCTACTAGACATCCCCATCTAGACATTCCACAGATACCTCAAACCCAACATGTTCAAAATTAAGCTCAAGATCCCTCTGCCAACACCTGGGCCCTGTCTTTCTAATTGTCCCTAACTTAGGGAATGGTACCACCTGCCAACAATTTCTAAGGCTTCAAATGGGGAGTAATTCCAGAGTCCTCCTCTTCCCTAATTTCCTACATTTTATATATTTATCAAATACTATTGATTTCTCTTTATAAGTATCTTTTGTATCTGCTCCGTTTTTTTCATCCCCACTGCCACAGCTCTGGCACAGTTTTGAGATTCCCTGATTTCCCACCTGGAACGTAGCCATGGTTTCTCTGTTGAGCTCCCAGGCTGCACTCCTGACTTGTGTTACTAGGTCCTGGCAGAAAGCAAATGGCACACTGCACTTGAGGGGTAATTTGAGGAGAGGTTAAAAAATAAGGGGACAATTTATAAAGGGTCGGCGGAGTACAGGAAAACCACAAGAAATAGTGTACAATCTACTAGGGCCAGTAGCAAATCAATGTTTCCACCCCCAGGCCCGAAAAGTCAAAGGAGGGGAGTGATTACCTGAATCAAGAGAGAGGGAGGGGGCTGGCACTGTGGCTCACGCCTGTAATCCCAGCACTTTGGGAGGCTGAGGAGGGTGGATCATGAGGTCAGGAGATTGAGACCATCCTGGCTAACAAAGTGAAACCCTGTCTCTACTAAAAATACAAAAAAAATTTGGCCGGGCATGGTGGCATGCGCCTGTAGTCCCAGCTACTCAGGAGGCTGAGGCAGGAGAATCGCTTGCACCCGGGAGGCAGAGGTTGCAGTAAGCCACTGCACTCCAGCCTGGGCAATAGAGTGAGACTCGGTCTCAAGAAAAAGAAAAAAAGAAAAACAAAAGAGAGAGGGAGGGGAGAGAGAACCACCCGTGGAAGCTGTGATCTTTGGTTGAGGGTGGCAGCCAGCGCACTGTGACCCCAAAGAGAGGAATCCTGAAGAATAAATATCCAGTTTCCCCTGACCTCCCTCCTTATTCAATCTTCAGCCATGGCCCCCATTGGCCAACCCAGTCTAGGAAGCCAGAGGGCCAGGAAGATCTGGAGGGGCAAACGGAAGACATGCAGTGCATCTTCCAAATCCTTCTCTATAATATGCCAGGAAGTCTTTTTCTGGTCACACTACTTCCCAGTTCCATTTGTGCACAGCAGGTTCTCTGTCACCTACAGCACCTAAACTTTTTGGCATGCCCTGGTTTCTCTTTATTCAATTTTTTCCTTACCAAAATGCATGATAAAGCCTGTGATCTGATCCTCCACTCAGCTACCTATGCCTACTTCCTGTTAGTTCTTTCCTTCAGACTTTTCACCCCAGCAGCATAGAACCACCAGTGGTCGCCGGGCGCGGTGGCTCACGCCTGTAATCCCAGCACTTTGGGAGGCCGAGGTGGGTGGAACACAAGGTCAGGAGATCGAGACCATCCTGGCTAACACGGTGAAACCCTGTCTCTACTAAAAATACAAAAAAAAAAAAAAAAAAAAAGAAAAAATTAGCTGGGCATAGTGGCGGGCGCCTGTAGTCCCAGCTACTCCGGAGGCTGGGCCAGAAGAATGGCGTGAACCCGGGAGGCAGAGCTTGCAGCGAGCCGAGATCACGCCACTGCACTCCAGCCTGGGCGACAGAGCAAGACTCCGTCTCAAAAAAAAAAAAAAAAAAAAGAACCACCAGTGGCCCCTGTAACACTCTGTTCTCTCAGGCTCCTGAGCTTGACCTGATGACAGACACAGAGTAAGCTGTCATAAATATTTGTATGGTGAAGAAGTGCACGGACACGTTTTTTAACCCCTGTGGCTCCTGAGATCAGGAGTAGCATCATATACATTATGACATATGTGCAGACCAAGCTGCCTTCAGTTAATTATCAAGATGTTTCACCTACATTCTCTCCTTTGATCATTACGAAAGCGTGATAGGTGAGGACGCTATTCTTGATATTCAGAGGGTGAAGTGGAATACTGAAAGTCACAAGCATTGGGTACAGAAGGCACTGTAGGATCAGAAAGGGGAGTGATCCCTTTCCTCCCCATCATAAGAGTCACAGCCGACACTTCTATAACAAAAGACAAGTTAACCAGAGAAAAGCATAACAAATTTATTTAATCATGGTTTTACTTGAGAGGCTGAGGACCAGGTGTTAATCTTCATAGTCTGTCGAGAAAGAAAGAAGAAATGAGGGCAGTGGAGGAAAACACGATTCACGTTTTTAGGAAAATATACTTTGAGATTAGTGATCGTTGGTACTATGCAAACCAAATGCAAACGAGGAGCTGGCCAACTCATGGTTTCTTTTGGGTGGAGCCTTTAGGAAAATTCTTCCAGAGACCACTGCTGGAAGAAAGGTATTTAGAGTAGAAAATTTAAATATAACATATTGTATGAAAGGTTTTTTTTTTTTACTTTTTTTTCTCACTACCCTAGTTGGGTTGGAGGATCCTCTATCTCCCCTCCCTACTTAGGTTGACTGCTGTTTCCTGGATCGCAGCTCGGAAGATCCACCTGGGCGAATACAAAAACAAACGAGACTCCCCTTCCAGAAAGGGAGGAAGGAAGGAGACAGAAAGACGAATGACACTGAGCGTGTAAAGCCCGGAGACAGCCTCTCTCTACCCCAACCTAACCCTCAAGGTAGGGGATCCCCCGAACATCGCTACCGTAATTATGGTAGAAATTCCTGAAACGGATAACTGGACCTCAGCACCGTCATTTCTAGCAGAATGATTGAGCTTTCCTCTGACCCAAAGCCAAGGGGTTCCAGCAGGGGAAACTAACGACCATCCGCAAAAACCCTCACCCAAGTGGGGAGTGGAAATCCTGGCTCTTGGGTTGCAGAGCACAACTTGACGCCAGCGCGTTTCTCTTCCCCCACGCAATGGCAAGTGGGGCGGGAGTCGGAGGGGAGAGGAGGAGAGGAGAAGAGAAGAGGAGGGGGAAGGGGAGGGGAGAGGCGAAGGGCGGCCCGGGTTCCAGCAGCCGCCCCGCCCTCCGGCTCGCGGCGGATTCGGCGCTGCGGCTGGAGCCGGCGGCCGGGTGCCTGCCTGTCCAGGCAGGGTCTGGCCGAGCGTCGCGTCGCCGTGCAGTGCGCCGGGTGTCCGGGAGATGGCTTCCCCTCTCTCGCCCGCTGCTGCCGCTATTGTCTCACCCGGGGTGGCCTGACTCTGCGAGCTCGCGCACGCTCTCGGCGGAGAGCACCCCTCCCCACCCCCACAAGCTGGTCCTTGCGCCCTTTGCTGCCTCTCCCTCTGCCCCTTGGAGCCTAGGGTCTGTGCGGAGCCTGGAGAGGGGAGCGGCCCGGGAGCAGGCGGCGTGCGGCCGGCCAGCTCCTCTCGCGCTGGTGCAAGAGGCGCCTGGAGCCGCAGAGCGAGCCCGGGAGGCGCGGAGCGAGCAGCCCACGTCGCCAGGCACAAGACACGTCGGATGTTGCAGCAGAGCCAGCAGCTAGCGCAGGTAGGACACGCATCCTGCGGGTTGCATCGGCCCCAGCGTCTGTAAAGTGCCCCCAGAGTGGAGGCAGCCGAGGTCAGGGGGCTCTCCCTCCAACATGGCAACAGCGGAGGTGCAACAATGGAAGCAGCCGAGGGTTCCTGGCGGCGGGCTGAGCGGCGGACGCCGTGGGAGCCTGAGCTCCTGCCCGCCGGGCAGAGCAGGTTGCCCCTCACCCCACTCCACTCCACTCCAGCAGCTTCAGGGCCTCTGGGGCTCCAGGCACCCGCGTCCCCACCCCCTTCTCGCTAAACACACTTCCTGGCTCCCAGCTGCAGGGCGATCTGAACCAGTCAATGGCTTTGGGGTTTGTTTATTTAAGATAAGAAATAAAAAAAGCAAAACCTGTCCTGTGATGGGGTTAGTGCCTTCTGTGGACTGGGTGAGAAGTCGGCATCTAGCCTGGGGAATGTGTACGTTTCTTAGTCGGGCGGAGGGTAGAATTGGATTCTCCCTTATAAGGATACTGCAGCAAAAGGAGACTGAAAGCTTGAAAGAGGGAGAGGGACCCTCAGGCCTGAGTTCGCCGGTGCTGGGAGAAGGCGCTGCTCTCCTGGCCTATACTTGTCCCTCATTTTCAGCTCCCGACAGCGGTGACTTTGATGTTGGAGGAGCAATCGCAGCAGGAAGCACAAGCAAGGCTGCCAAGCTGGTGTGGGGTGGAGTAGGGTGGGGAGCCCAGGGGCTTGGCAGGCTTCTGGATTGTGGGAAGAGGTTACCAAATGTATGAGGTTAGTGCACACACCCTAGTTGGCTGATGTTGAAGTGTGTGTGTGTGTGTGTGTGTGTGTGTGTTTTCTGCCATTGCTCTTGCTCCTTCAGGCCTGCCTTTTCTCCTCTCCACCCGCTTCTGGGGTCTTCGTAGCTTCCCTGCCCCAGCCCTTCCAATCATGCCTGGGATGGAATCGCTGTATTGTCTCTGGCAGCTCTCTTGGGCTGTTTTTTCTCAACTCTGTTGGAGAGTTTTGTACCCTGGGCTGGCTGGTCCCAGCATGGCACCAGATTCTTTAGCAGGCGGCTACCCGGGCTCCAAGAAGTGGGCCAATGCTGCCCCTCCTCCTTGCTCTAAACTACCTATTTGGGATATGGCCAGGCAGATGTAAGCAATTTGTACTAAATTCCAACCCTGAATCAGTGCTGAATGAAAACTTACTCTGTTGCTGCATCAGGCTTTGGGAAGATATTAGGAAGAGAAATGGCCCAGGAGGTGGCAATGCCGACCCCCAAATACTTCCCTCTCCCCAACTCCAGCTGCCGATCCCAGAGCAGACAGGCAGTGAGACTTTGGAATCCCAGCTCCTCCAGAGTCTGGCTGGCCCATCTTGAGGTTGTGTCCATGGAAAAATTAAGTCGAGGCACATTTTATAGCTCTGCTTGGCAGCCAGCATCTGAAGAGATGGTGGCTCTGAGCTGGAGCCCTAGACCCAGGCTGTGGCTGCTTCTCCTTTGGCCTTTGGGTGAGCCTGAGGTTTGATTGCCATGGCTCTGAGCTTACTGCTGAGTGTGTATGGCTGAATCTGATCAAGCTCTCAGACCCGGCTGCTTGTCTATTTCCTTCTCCACTGGAAGCATGAGTGAGAAAGGGCCAAGGGGGTGTGCTGGGTGAGGAAGGGTCAGTTTATCTGGGGACTTGGGCTGTTTCTGGGGGAGCTCCTTTGGACTTCCTTGGTGGTCTGGAATGCCTTTGGTCTTTGTCATGACCTAGTATGCTCTGGCAGATACTCTATACCCTCGTGGGCCTTTGGTCCCCGCTTGGTGGTGTCCCCACTCCTCCTGTGCCTGGTGCTTTGCATCTATATCATGTCTGTGGTGCTTCAGCTGGGATGGCCCTGGCCTGGACCAGTGGGTAGAAAAATGAGGTCTCTGTTCCTTTTAGGGGCTTGTAACTAGCTATAAGGTTCAGGCTCCTCATGTTCCCAGGATGTGAACTTGGACATCATAATGTGAAGTAGTAGAGAAAACAGTGTCTTGGTGTGACTTTCTTTTTAGCTATGTGAGCACAGACAATTTGTGGACCTAAGATTTAGTTTGTATATTTGTAAAATGGAGGTGGGGGAGTAGCCATGGCTCACAGGATTAATAATGAAATGCTGCTTACCAAGAACTAAACAGAATCATGTGTGCAAAAGTACCCTGAAAACTACAGAGTACTTTACAAATGATTATTCTTACTGGGTTTAGCCTCCCACATAAGGGAGGGAGATCTGTGAGGGATGGGGATAGGGTGGGATCTGAGGGCCACATGGAGTAGGGAATGTTTTGGGACCTTTTCTTTCTTGCTAAGGAAAGAGTAGTGTGACAATACCAAGGTAACTGCTGTATTCCTTGGGTATTTTTCTTTAAATAGTGTTGGCAGGATGGGAACTGGGAGAGAAGGAAAGGATGCCTCATGATATTTGTAGGAATTGAGGAGGGATAAACACCTTCCAAAGGCTGGCTACTGCCTATAGAGAGGATAATGCTGAGCTGGCAAGTAATGTAATCACTAACACTCACTGATGTCAGCCAGCTAGTAAATGATAGAGGTGGGATTTGAAGCAAGCAGTCTCACTCCTTACCCTGTGTTCATAGCCTCAGTGCTACTCAGAGAGATATTGGGTCTTGGGAGAACAGAAAGGGACAGCAAAATTGTGGAGTTCATTCTTTTTGTTTGTTCTTGAGACAGGGTCTCTCCCTGTTGCCTAGGCTGGAGTGCAGTGGGCTCAAGTGATCCTTCGACCTCAGTCCCCACCCTGAGTAGCTTGGACTATAGGCATGCACCACTACATGTGGCTAATTTTTTAAGTTTTTGTAGAGATGGGGTCTCAGTATGTTGCCCAGGCTGGTCTCAAACTCCTGGCCTCAAAGGAACCTCCTGCCTTGGCCTCCCAAAGGGTTAGGATTATAGGCATGAGCCACTATGTCCAGCCTCAGAATTCATTTTTTTTTTTTGAGACAGAGTCTCACCCTGTCACCCAGACTGGAGTGCAGTGGTGTCATCTCAGCTCCCTGCAACCTCCGTCTCCCAGGTTCAAGGGATTCTTGTGCTTCAGCCTCCCGAGTAGCTGGGATTATAGGCGTGTGCCACCATGCCTGGCTAATTTTTTGTATTTTTAGTAGAGACAGGGTTTCACCATGTTGGCCAGGCTGGTCTCGAACTCCTGACCTCAGGTGATCCACCTGCCTCAGCCTCCCAAAGGGCCAGGATTACAGGTGTGAGTCACCATGTCCAGCCTCAGAATTCATTCTTAATGGATTCCTTGAATGCCCATGAGACGTCACCAGCCTGGGACATCTCATGGGCATGTAGGCATAATAAATTTTTCTGGGCCTCATCTGCTTTTCTATGCATTTTTATTTCTATGTCTACCTTCCAAGGAAGGAAGAGATGTGGGATAATCTGATCAAGTCATATTGCTGCCTTCTGAGCAACACTAATAGAAGGTTTGGGACTTGGAGGATCCTGGGGAAATTAAGGCAGATTTCTTGTTTTGGTATTTTCATATCTGCTTTATTTTGCATCTGTTTTATAAAATGAAACTTGAGGGACTATTCTTGCCTTTTTTTTTTTTCTTTTTCTGTTGAGACAGGATTTCACTATGTTGCCTAGACTGATCTCGAACTTCTGGTCTCAAGTGATCCTCCCACCTCGGCCTCCCAAAGTGTTGGGATTACGGGCATGAGCCACCTCTCCCAGCTTGTTCTTGCATTTTGTAAGATCACATAGAGTATCAAAACTGGAAAGGACCTGGGCCATCACTTCCCTGAGAAAAAGTGACTTTCTCAAGGTCATGCAGTTAGTAGCAATGCTGGAACTGAACGCCTACCCCGCAGATCACAACATGACCCGTGAAAGGACCTATCCTGCAACACTTTGGAGTTTCGTGCCGACCCAATTAGTGGCTTTGTCTTTGGGAAATTTACTTCCCCAAAACACTGGGACATTGGGATGGAATTCACTCACCCCAAATCATCACCCTGGTTAAGGAGACTAAAGAATCAGAAGACATTTGTGCTTTGGGGAGCAGAGGCCCTCAGGGTATAGAGAAGGAAGAAGAGAGAGGTTCACTGTAGTCCTGAAGCAGAAATAAGACCTGTGGCTGAAGGAAGCCTTAGCAATTCACTCCTTCCTCTTCCTGAGAACTCTCTGTAGGAAGTCTCACCTAGCAGAGGCTTCACAGTATTTCAGAGAAGCCAAAGATTGTTTGCCTCTTTGGAAACTGTTATCCTTCCATCATGACTGTGTCACTCCTGCCACTGTTCCACCATAGAGGTGGGTGCCTAATATTAGAGAGTTGTTTCACACACGTGGCTCATTCCTCAAGCCTCGCTAAGCCAAGCCCACCAGGAAGAAGCTTGAGTGGAAGCATTCTCTCCAGCCACATCTTTCTCTCTTTCTCTCATACTAGATGGCGTCCTTTGCAGCAAACCGTAAGTTATAAGGATGAGGGAAGAAGAGTAGAGGGCCAAAAGGATTCCATTTTGAGGAAAAACTACAGTTTGCCTTGCCAGGTAGAAGAATCAGGTATGAGTTCTTTTTGTCTCAGGTAATAAACTAAGCAAAGCCCAGATAGTAGTAATGATGGAGCCCTTCAACTATTGACGTCTCCCTAAGAGCCCTCATTTTCTGAAAGCAGAGTGTTTGTCCCATTCCTGACTCGCCATGCTGTGTGTCTCCCAGAGAGTGAAAGAAATTGCTGTGACTGCGAGCACCAGTAGAGTGGATTTAATTCTCACCAAGAAAAGGGAGGTGGTTTGCAAATGGGTTGTTTTGGGATCCTGGGAGAGGAACATTGTAGCCAGAGATATTAGATTTTCACTCTAGACTTTAAGGAGGCAGATTTTTTTTTTTTTTTAAATTAAAAGATAGGGGCCAGGAATAGTGGCTTATGCTGTAATCTCAGCACTTGGGAGACTGACATGGGATGATCACTTGAGCCAAGGAGTTTGAGACCAGCCTGGGCAACATAGCAAGACCTTGTCTCTACTAAAAATAAAAATAAAAACAATTAGGGTGTGATGGCGCACACTTGTGGTCTCAGCTACTCAGGAGGCTGAAGTGGGAGGATCTTTTGAGCCCAGGAGTTTGAGGCTGCAGTGAGCTATAATTGCACCACTCTGATTGCATCCAGGTTTCACTGTAGCCTGGGTGACAGAGTGAGACCCTGTCTCTGAAAATAATAATAATAATAAAGAGCTTGTACAATTAACTTGAGAGGAGCCAAAATTTGAGTCTAGGTCAGGAAACCTCTAGAACCTGTGTTCCTTCTGTGCTATGCTGAAGGGGACTGTGAGAAAAAAAATGTTCATGAGGCTCGAGTCCTGAATGAGATGGAGCTTCCCCAAGAGCCAGTAATGACACAAGTGGTTCTTAAAGTCATTTCTGGAAGACAATAGGATCACAAGGGTTTAAGTCTATCAGATCATGTTAAAAAGGAACTCATTCATTTATTCATTAATTTGACTAACATCTTGATTGTTTACTAGTGACTTTAGGTACTTTTAAGTCATTGAGTGGGGGAAATATGGGTTGCCTTGTGAACTCATCAGTGGGGCCTTTTTGATGGTCAGACTTCTTGGAGGAAATTAAGTGTTTGCAGAGATCTGAAC
The DNA here is from genome assembly GCF_000001405.40 of Homo sapiens. Lineage (NCBI taxonomy): Eukaryota > Metazoa > Chordata > Mammalia > Primates > Hominidae > Homo > Homo sapiens. The sequence goes on along the minus strand of NC_000001.11, from coordinate 204,488,730 downwards.
AATGAGTAGGAATTGGGGCAGGATGGGGAATGGAGTGTGGTGAATGAGGTGAACTGAAAGCAGTTTAATCTCGCCAGAGCCACTGAAGGAGTTTGCATTTTATCTTTTGGGCATTCATTCCACCATTGTACATTGAATGTGCACTGACACTCTTCTACGTGCACAGCAGTGAAGAGGACAGGTAAAACCCTTGCCTAGTGCTTGGTGTTCTGAGAAAACTTAGTTCACTCATAGTTCTTAGTCCACTAAGAGTAGTTCACTAAGAATTAAACCAAGCTTTTTAATGTTACTGACAGGAATTCTATACTGATAGATAGGGAATTACTTGGAGAGATTCTCTAGTTGAATGCAAGGAAAGTTTGAGAAGGACTCTCATGATAATCCTATAGATTATACAGGGTAGAGACAAAAGGTGGGTTAATGATTGGTTGATTGTTCATTCAGCAAAAACATCTTCAGTGCCTCTTCTCATTCATTCTTACATTTATTCACTCATTTATCAAATGACTGGCAGTGCAAGTTCGGCAGATGGTTAAGAGCACGGCTTTGGAGCCAGATTACTTGGGTTCAAAGCCTGGCTCCACCACTTACAAGCTGTATGACCTTGGAAAAGTTATTTAACTTATCTGTGCATCACTTTCCTCATACGTAAGATGAGGGAAATAATAATACCAGACAAAATTTGTTGTAAAATGAAATGAGTTAATTAATGAACTACTTAGAGCAGTGCCTGATGCATGTAAATGGTGACTCAACAGCTCATGGTTCTTGTAATTATTATTCCTCAATAGCAGGTTTGTGCTAAATTCTAGGAATACAACCTTGAATTGAGTGTGGTCCCTGACCTTGAGGGAACCACATTGCACCCCCCTCCCACCCAAAATGCAGGTAAATGGATGAGTTTCTTCATGGAGTGGGGTAATCCTATAAGCTCAATATGAATCGATTGTGATAAGGTGCCCCAAGAGTTATATATATACAGTCTTAGGCAGCATTTCCCAGCGTCTTAATATATAGTCTTAGGCAGCATTTCCTAGAGATTATAGAAACTAGAACTGTGGTGTTTATTATTTTGGAGATCTCTAAACTTAAGAATCTGATAAATGCTGTGGGGTGTCTACTTGGAAAAATACATTACAATTTTGCCTTCAAACAGCCTCCAAACCTCTGATCCTATGATGAGGAGCTGTTAACTCTTCTCCTCTGGGTTGGTCAGACCACGCTGAGAACACAGTATTAACAGTTCTGTACTGGAGCATGTACTTCGTGTAAAACATTGTGCTAAGTATCCTGGGGGAGACAAAGATAAATACGAGGTAATCCATGCGGTTTAAAGGCTTAGTGGAAAAGAATGTTTTGTATGTAATGAGATGTTTGTAGATACATGTTGAAATGATAAAAGTAAGAATGTTCATCTTGAGCAATGGAACGAGATTTATCTATACAAAAATTTAAAAATTAGCCAGACATGGTGGTGTGCACCTGTAGTCCTAGCTACTTGAGAGGCTGAGGTGGGAGGATCACTTGACCTGGGGAGTTTGAGGTTACAGTAAGCTATGATTGCACCACTGCACTCCAGCCTGGGCAACAGAGTGAAACCCTGTCTCTTTAAAAAACAAACATAGAGGCTGGGCGCAGTGGCTCACGCCTGTACCAGCACTTTGGGAGGCTGAGAAGGGTGAATCACCTGAGGTCAGGAGTTCAAGACCAGCCTGGCTAACATAATGAAACCCTGTCTCTACTGAAAATACAAAGATTAACTGGGCCTGGTGGCATGTGCCTGTAATCCCAGCTACTCTGGAGGCTGAGGCAGGATAATTGCTTGAATCCAGGAGGTGGAGATTGCAGTGAGCGGAGATTGTGCCACTGAACTCCAGCCTGGGCAGCAGAGCGAGACTCCATCTCAAAAACAAACAAAAAACCAAACAAAAAATGAAGGATGTTACTTAAAAGTTGTGTTGGTAACTGTGTTAATAAATAAATAAGAGGTAATCTTTTTTTGAGATGGAATCTCCCTCAGTCGTCCAGGCTGGAGTGCAATGGCGCAATCTCGGGTCATTGCAACCTCTGTCCTCCAGGATCAGGCGATTCTCCCACCTCTGCCTCCCAAGTAGCTGGGATTACAGGCACCTGCCTTCATGCCCGGCTACTTTTTGTATTTTTGTAGAGATGAGGTTTCACCATGTTGGCCAGGCCAGTCTTGAACTCCCTACCTCAGGTGATCCATCTGCCTCAGCCTCCCAAAATGCTGGAATTACAGGCATGAGCCACCGTGCCCAGCCATCTTTATTCGTTTTTTTTTTGTTGTGTTTTGTTTTCTTTTTTTTTTTTTTTTTGAGACTGAGTCTCACTCTGTCACCCAGGCTGGAGTGCAGTGGCACTATCCCAGCTCACTGCAACCTCCACCTCCCGGGTTCAAGTGATTCTCCTGCCTCAGCCTCCTGAGTAGCTGGGATTACTGGCGCGCATCACCATGCCCAGCTAACTTTATATATTTAGTAGAGACAGGGTTTCACCATGTTAGCCAGGCTGATCTGGAATTCCCGACCTCTGGTGATCCGCCCGCCTCGACCTCCCAAAGTGCTGGGATTACAGGCGTGAGCCACCATGGCCAGCATTATTCTTAAGATTAGTGGGCTAATGTCTATAAAAGTGCTTTGTAGCTATAAATACCTATACAAATAAAAGCTATTATTTTTATTCTAGTCACTAGTAGGGATAATCCAAAGCAGAATGCACATAAATGCAGTAGAGCACATTACAAATTATAAAAATATTCAAAAGAGCAAAGTCACTTTTATTCATGGGGGATGTGCAGGCACTGCTCTTATATTACAGCCATCGCACATCCCCCATGAATAAAAGGGTGCAGTGGCTCACGGCTGTAATCCTAGCACTTTGGGAGGCCGGGGCAGGCAGATCGCTTGAGTTTGCAATCAGCCTAGGCAACGTGGTGAAACCCCATCTCTACCAAAAAGACAAAAAATTAGCCAGTTGTGGTGGCGACCACGTCTGTAGTCCCAGCTTCTCAGGAGGCTAGGATGGGAGAAGATCGCTTGGGCCTGGGAGGTGGAAGTTGCAGTGAGCCAAGATCCTGCCACTGCACTGCAGTCTGGGCGACAGAGCAAGACCCTGTCTCAAAAAAAAAAAAAAAGGAAGAATGACATGATCAGAGCTGCCCTGTAGGAAGATTATCCTGGCAGTGGAGAGCAGATACTTTAGGGGGTCAGCAAGGAGACAGACTAGTTAGTGGTCTGTTTCAATCATTCATCATTCAGGTGAGAAAAAGGAATAATAATTTTTTTGGTGCCTAATAAAATAATTTTTCAGGTAAAAGAATAATCATTCAGGTAGAAGAAAGGAATAACAAATTTTTTGGTGCCCAATATATGCTTTATATAGGTTATTTCACTTAAAGTCATCAGAGGTTTGGAAAGGAATGGACCAATTTAAGAGAGATTAGAACAGGAAGGCTGGGGGATTTCCTTTCCTGAAGGATTCTAAGAACGGGAGAGATAGCTGGGTGCAGTGGCTTACCCCTGTAATTCCAGCCACTTGTGAAACCGGGGTGGGAGGATTGCTTGAGACTGGGAGGTCAAGGCTGCAGTGATCCGTGATCACACCACTTCACTCCAACCTGGATGGCAGAGTGAGACCTTGTCTCTTAAAATTAAAAAAAAAAAAAAAAAGACTGGAAGACTGGTTATAGCTCAGCCTGGGAAGAGCACTGGAGAGGGAGTCTAAGGACCTGGACTCCCACTTCTGGTCTCACCTCTATCACTGACCAGCTATATGACTTCACACAGTGCCCCTTGCTCATTGGTTCTCTTGTCTACCAAACTGTGGGGTGTGTTTGTTTGCTTTGCTTGTTTGTTTATTTTTATGTTTATTTTTTTGAGTGGCCTGGGAGAGTGAAATGTTCTGGGATGGGGGTGTGGAGAGCATGGAGGTGTTCTAGAATAATCACCAACATCAGCTTAAACACTTTTTTTTTTTTGAGACGGAGTCTCGCTTTGTCGCCCAGGCTGGAGTGCAGTGGCACGATCTTGGCTTACTGCAACTTCCACCTCCCAGTTTCAAGCGATTCTCCTGCCTCAGCCTCCCAAATAGCTGGGACCACAGACATGCGCCACCATGCCCAGCTAATTTTTAGTATTTTTAGTAGGGACGGGCTTTCACTATGTTGGCCAGGATGGTCTCGATCTCATGACCTCGTGATCCGCCCACCTTGGCCTCCCAAAGTGCTGGAATTGAGTGAGCCACCGCGCCCGGCCATCAGCTTAAACACTTAATCAAATGTGATGTGCCTGGGTTTCCACAACAGGATGGGAAAAAGACCATGAAGTTTGGGCTCACACACATTTCAGTTTAACTCTTGATTTTATCATTTACAAGTTGTGTGACCTTTGGGCCAATTATTGCATCCCTTTCCTGTTTTCTACTTTCCTCTTCCATAAAAGAAGGATGATAACATCCACATTTAAGGATTGTTGTGAGGACTAAATAAGACAATACCTGGCACAAAATACCAGAGGGGGGAAAAAAAGGTATATTTCCTTCCTTCTATTTCTGTGATGCTCATATGCATGTAGTCTTCCCTCCTGTCTCCCCACTTCTCTGCCTTCCTTCTCTTTCCCTTTCACCAGCACAAAGTGTAACACCCTCACTCCCGTTGCTACAGTGGGCTGTACTAGTTTCACAGACCTTGAAATGGCACATACACGGGAAAGGTGTTTCGACACAGTTCCTATGGACTGTTGGTGCCGGATGCTTACACGGTCACACCCTGGTCGCTCATCCAGCTTAAGCAGTCAGTGAATCCCTGCTGAGAATGACCTCTGACTGTTGCTACCCTGGGAGACACTGGGCGAGGGTCACATGGGCAAGGGGCTGGTGGAATGTGAGCATGCTATACTGTGCCAGTGGTTCACCCTTTGCTTAGTGTAGACTTAGGTTCTGTCTTAAGGACATCTGTCTCTCTTGGGACCTTCCTGTGCAAACTGGGGGGATAAGAGATCGGAGAAAGGCATCAGGGCATGTACAAAGCAACATCAAAACTAATTGACATGATTCTTTGCTCTATACCCCTCCCCCTCGCTAAAGTCACTTTCTTTTTTCAAAATCTTCATGACCCATAACCATTCCATGCACAGAGATGCAAAAATGGTCAGTTAATATCCAAAGCAAAAGCGTTGCTCTTGTTCCCCAGGCGACAGGGCCACCATTTTTATCAGTGTGAAACAGAGTATCAGGGTATTAAGGAGACACTGAGAATAAAAGTGAGGAGATATTGGAAGGCTTAACCAGGGAAGGCTTCTGAAGATCGTTTTTTTTTTTTTTTGAGTCAGGGTTCTCTGTCACCCAGGCTGGAGTGCAGTGTCTCAATCATGGCTCAGTTGAGCCTCCTATTTCAGCCTCCCAAGTAGCTGGGACTACAGGTACATGCCACCACACCCAGCTAATTTTTGTGTTTTTTGTAAAGATGGAGTCTATGTTTCCCAGGCTGGCCTCAAACTTCTGGGCTCAAGCGATCGTCCTGCTTTGGCCTCCCAAAATGCTGGGATTGCAGTTGTGAGCCACTGTGCCTGGCCTTTCTGAGGATCTTGAATTCGGATGGAAGCAGGAGAGAGAGAAAGCAGGAGGAAGAGAAAGGCACCCCCAGTGGTAGCCATGGCTTTGGGGCCCTAAGAGTCAGGTGCAAATGGAAATAGGGATGGGGAGTCCATACCACGCTGTACGTGCAGGTGAGCAGGGCTAAGGGGAAACTGAAACCTACGGCTGCAACATGTCTAGGGGTGACCAGGCTGACATGGGCAGTCCTTCTGGGATCCCCTGTGGTCTGGCACCATCAGGACCACTGCCTTCTTCCCATTCCCCCCATCGAGATATTCTTCCTGTGGTTTGAGGATTCTGGGACACCACAGGCATCTTGGAGAATATCTTGTTTCTCAGTTCTTTTTTTTTTTTGAGACAGAGTGCAGTGCAGTGGCGCGATCTCGGCTCACTGCAGCCTCTGCTTCCTGGGTTCAAGAGATTCTTCTGCCTCAGCCTCCCAAGTAGCTGGTGTTACAGGCACCCACCACCACACCAGCTAATTTTTGTATTTTTGGTGGAGACGGGGTTTCACCATGTTGCCCAGGCTGGTCTCGAACTCCTGACCTCAGTCTGCCCACCTCGGCCTCCCAAAGTGCTGGGATTACAGGCATGAGCCACTGCACCCAGCCTTCAGTTCTCTCTTAAGGCGTTGCATCCTGAGTAGGGTTTCTCCTTTGACCTGGCTAAAGTAGAATCCTTGGTCTTCCGGCTGGGTTCAGTGTCCTTGACTGACCCTGGAGCAGGATATCCTTCTGGCCTGCTACCAGGAAGAATGGAGGCTCCCAGCTTGGGAACTGCATGGCTGTAGGCAGAGGACCGTGGCCACCTGGATCAACCTGGGCTAAGAATAGCCAAGGCCAGGGTTTGGAGGGGTCAGTGCCTTAAAGGGGCAGGCTGCCCAGTGGGCAGCATTGTGGGGACTGTACTCTAGAGGGGCAAGAGGTTCCTACACTCAGGAGCAGAGACCAGGGGGAGGCCATGGAGCTATGGGGCCTAACATTAGAGAGCACCCCCCCCCCCCCCCCCGTCTTTTCATGGCTCATTCCTCCCTGGGAAAATAGAAGTCTTACCATTTCCAGGGCCTGTTGGGTTGGGTGCTCCCCTCCTTAGATTCTGCTTTTTAATGCAAATGGCCCTGGGAGGGACTAACACCTTGACCTCTCACACCCCTGTGTAAGTGAGTATCAGATGTTTAGGGGTGTTTCATTTTTCTGTTTTTCTCTGGATTGAAAGACTGGAACTGCTTGAAAACCGGTGTCCCTTTCCTTTCCTACCCTGGTCTGTGGGGACCCCACGGCTTCTTTACACCTTCCTGATTTAGGGAATGACCGGCCACCCTGGGGGGCCTGCCAGAAGGCCTGGGGGCATTTGGGAGAGGGCTCTTGTGAAGCTCTTCTGCCTGAGGCTCCTTCTGTGGCATTCTCTTTGCCTGAGTGCCCTCAGCCTGCTGGAACGCAGAGAACAGCCTGCTTGGGGAAGGGCCGGAGCTGCCCCCTGGTGCTGAGAGGGCCTGTTTTCCTTTTTCTTCTGGGTTTAACCTTTTTTCTCAGACTTCTTTGCCAGTGACACTAAGAATGTGACCTCGGCGTGGTGGCTCATGCCTGTAATCCCAGCACTTTGGGAGGCCCAGGCAGGTGGATCATGAGGTCAGGAGATCGAGACCATCCTGGCTAACATGATGAAACCCCGTGTCTACTAAAAATACAAAAAATTAGCTGGGCATGGTGGCGGGTGCCTGTGGTTCAGGAAGCTGAGGCAGAGAATTGCTTCAACCTGGGAGGTGGAGGTTGCAGTGAGCGGAGATCACGCCACTGCACTCAGCCTGGGCGACAGAGCGAGACTATGTCTCAAAAAAAAAAAAAAAAAAGAATGTGACCTTATGGGTCTAGGCCAGCTTCCTCTCTTCTCTTCTGGGAGAGCTGGTGAGGGAGTGAGTGAGCAGGAGGGTGTGTGTCGGGGGAGAGTAGGGTGTGTATGGGGAGGGTGTGAGGGGTATGGGATAAGCATGGGAGGTGTGTGGTGTGTATGTAGCGGGGAGACATAGATGTGTGTGTGGGGTGCAGGGGGAAAAGTATGTGGAGGGGTTGGGGGTTACACATGGTTTGTGTGATCCCTATGGCTTCAGGCCCCCAAGAGTGACTGTAATCTATTAGGGATTGCCTTGATATTTGAGGAGTTAGCATTAACTGAAGATATCCTGCTTTATCATTAGACTCTGAGTCTAGCTTGCTGGTTGAGGAACACCACGATGGCACAGGGACAGTGGGCTGGGCTGTGGGCACGTGGTGGAGAGCCTTCCTATCCCAAGGGAAGAAAGAAGCATGGCGCGGGGGCTGGTCGGCGCCTTAGCCGGTTCCCATGAATGGCTGGCTCTGCCTTTTTCTGCTTGACTTCCTTTGGCCCTTCTCAGAGCTGAGCAGGTGGCTGTCAGCTGCCGGCAGCCCACCACCCACACAGCCTGGCCCTGCCCATTGGCTCCTGCACCCAGGCTTACAGGCAGTCACCCCCATCCTCCCCACAGACAGCACCACCACCTGGGAGCTGCTGGCCCTGCCTCCTCTACTCTTATGTGTGTGATCCTTCTGGGTACTGGGGCTCTGGCATATCTGTGCTGAGTGTATACTTGCAGGGGAGAGCACAGGGCTGGGGCCAAGAGTGTTTCTGAGTATTCCCACCATGCCAGCCTCCCTTCATCGGGTCTACAATCTTTTCCCAACTCTGGAACAGCTCCAGTAGGAGAGACAGTACAAAGTCACTTAGCCTGAGTGGTCCTCCCTCTCATCTGGGACAGAAAGGAGGACCCTGTCTTCAAGACCAGAGAGAACCTTTTGGACATCTGAGAAAGGTGCTACCAGAAAGCACCCTAACAATCATTATAATTGAACAAATTGGAGACGCTTGCTCAAAAAGCCAGTGTCAGCCCAGCAAGGATGTCTTCCTTCTGGAGGATGGTCTCACTGGCATTATTCAGTGCTCTCTGGTCAGTCCAGTGCCTCTGCAGTTACCCCGACGTACATCCTCATCCCCTTGGAATGGGGCTGGGCCCTCGTTTGAAGTACGCCTCCACACTGCCTCCTTGCTCCTTGCAGACCTGGATGGGTTAGCCCGGCCCCGCCGAGCCCAGTGCAGAAGACCTGCGGAGGCAGCTCCTCTGCCGTGGCCTCTCCTGTCCTCTCTCTGATGAGCCCTCCAGGCAGAGCAGAGCCTTGTTGTTATGTTGTTTCCTCACTTTGGTGCCCTGGCTGGATGGGAACAGCTGGGACTTGCTTTATGGACTCTGCTGAACAGGCTGGCATCCTCCAGGGAGTTTTCCCCACCCACACAGGAATGAATCCTGCAGAACTGGATTCCCAAGGGCATGAGCTAAGGAAGCTGAACTGAGGCTGGAGGTGACAGTGGTGACAATCTGGGCCTTGCAGAAGACCTCAGTTTATAGGAAGCAAATGCTGTATCGAGGCAAAGCTGAGGAGGATGGTAGATGGGGGAGGCCAGGCCTAAAGAGAGCTACTGTGTCTTCGTCTCTAACTCCACCCATTTTCTGTGTCCTCTTTCAGAGGACCTTTGTTTATACTTCACAGCATCTACAGTATTTTCAGAGCGTTTAGGGTTTCCTAGGTGTTGCTTTTTGGAAATTCTGTGGTTGTTTTTCTGATACAGGATGGGCTGGTGTGAAAGTTGTGTGTAAAGAAGTTCCCTCGGTGGTCTCCTCAGCTGGAGGCCAAGGTTGGTCAGGGGAGGTCATCCTGGGACCTTCCCTGTCCCCCTACCTTTCTCTGGAAGGCCAAGAAAGCTGGAGGAGTCCCTCATAACTACCATGCCCTTGGAACCTGGGGTGAACTGGATGAGAAGGATTGGTTCTTGGGTGAGGGAAGAGGGGAGGAGGAAGCAGGAAGTAGGAACCAGACAGAGATGTGGCTGCTCTGGCTCCTGGGATGATTCCTGGGTTAGAAATACACGTACTGCCAAAGCTTTTCTTCCTTCTTTGCCAAATGTTCCATTCAGTTGATTGCCAGCTTCTGGTTCCTGACCCTGCAATCAAAATTGCCAGCTCTAGAGGAAGGAAAGTTTTTAGAGGAGCCACAAGCTGCCTCACCTCTTCCATCCTGGTCTCCTCATAACACAGAGCCCACAGTCTACAGGGTATGTAGCAGGAGCTATGATCTCCAAGGATTCTATGTGTGTGCATGAGACCAAATGGTTTCTGAGCTAGAATCGGGGTCTCTGAGTTGGAGTCAGCAGTGCATGCAGACCTGACTTTATGTAGCTGTGTCCCACAGGCTCCAAGCTTCTGTCCCTCTGATTGTCTAGGACCCAGAAAGACTTCCACTAAACTCTTGTGTGCACTTTGGCTTCAAATTAATGGAGAGTCCAGGGTATGGTATGCCCAGAGAGTAGAATAATGGAGAGTAAGTCCTGGTAGGAAATGCCAGACCATGTGCGGCTGCTTTAGTTTAGCTATAGAGGTCACTAGAGAGGGGATGTATAAGTGGGAAGAAAACACAAGCTGTTATTTTGTCTTCTCACATTTGGAACTAGATGAGAGGCACCCAGAGGGCACGCACACTAGAGAAGAGAAAGACCTTATGGATGCATGTGATTCTGTAATAGACCTGCCATCAAAAAAGCTTATAGAGCTGTATACAACCTGTGGGTTTTCCATAAGGAAGCAGGGATCAGATGCACATCTGTTGGAGGCTGGGGGAGCCGGCTTGCTTGACCTTAATACACCTCCCTGCTGTAGGAGTCGGATTCCTGGCAGTGTGTTGATGTTCCCTGTTAGAGCCGGGCTGTGGGAGGGGCAGTTGGAGCCAGCGGCATGTGTGTGGAGTGAGATGCGAGGCAGGGTCCCTGGCTGCAAAGGAGGTGGGATTGGGGGTATGGGTGAGTGTGGGTGCTGGGGGATGGACAGAAGTGGAGGTCCTCTCTGAAGAGAAAAACCTGGACACCAAAGGGTTTAAGTCCTAATGGCCTCTGACTCCCTGACCCTGCCTGTCCTTAGGGGAAGTGCTGAGGGTCCCTTCCTGGGGAAGTCCTAGAGCTGAGTCTCTTCCCTTAGTAAAATCTACTGAAAATCAGGATGCCCAAGACTGGGGGCTTGAAACCCTGCATATTCTTCACCGCCTTGCTTGAGAGCTTTCCATTTTCCCTGCCCACTGAAGATGGTCCAAGACATGCAGTACCTTCTTGCTTCCTGCTTTACACCCCAAGAGGGGATTGAATTCTTTATGTATGTGTCTGCCACCTTTGCTAGATTGTAAGCTCCCTGGAATTGTGCCATAGTCATCTGAATACTTGTAGTCTTTAGATATGTATGTGCCTGGCCTGGCATGTAGCTGGTACTCAACACCCTTTGGGATCCAATCTGTGGCTCAGGGTATGGGGAAGAGATGACCCAGACCCCTCTAGATTCTCCCAGTCCCAAGGAGAACAATTCTGTTAGGGTGCCTTCCAGCAAGACAGCAGGAACCCTCACCACCCACTGGCTCCAGTGGTGGCCCCTGGGCTCCTCCCTCTCTGGCACAGGGACTAAACAGAGCCAGCTCCACTGGAGGGAGTGCCCTCTCCTTTCTTTCCATCCTTTGACTCTGAACCATTGTGTCACTCTGTCCTGACCCCATTTCCTCCCCGGCTAGCCCTCAGCCATCTGTGGGCAGCTGTGAGACTGAGTTTGGTGCCTGGTGCAGCTCAGACCCTGGCACCGACCTGCTTGGCCATAGGCATGTCCTCTTGTTTCTTCAGCTGACTGGTGCTTTTTGGGGTGCCTCTACCCAGGTCTTCTTGTCTTCCTGAGAGTTCTGAAACCCTCTTCTGTGGGGTCAAACCTGGCTGCACATTTGAATCACTTTAGGGGCTACTGAAGCATCCAGCATCCAGGGACTCACCCTACTGAGTCAGAACTTCCAGAGGAGAGGTCGGGAATGTGTATATTTTTAAAGCTTCGCAGATGACAATTGCGGTCACTCAAATGTGGAGTGTGCATTAGATAATATTATTGTTGTCAATGTTAAGTTTTGTGGGTGTGCTCATGGCATTGTGTTTTACATAGGAGAATGCCCTTGCTCTTAGAGATTCAGGCTGAAGTTTTTAGAGGCAAAGTGTTTCTTACAAACACTTTGCAAAGGGCATCTTACTTTTAAATGGTAAAGCAGAGCAAGAAAGAGAGCAAATGTGGAGAAATGTTAACAATTATTGCAGGCAGGTGGTGAAAGAAAACTGGCTGTAACAGACCTTCTGGACGATTTCCATCTGTTTTCTAAGAGGTGGACATTAGGAGAGAACGCAGCCTGAACCACCAAGGTGTATAACTCCAGGAGGCACCATTCACATGGTTTTCATTTTTGTGGTCGGGGGTATCATTCACATAGAATACAATGTGTGGGGTGCCCCCTAGAGTTGTGTGACATAGTGGCATTGGCCCCAGCCATCTCTCCCTGGATGGGCTGCAGAGTAGCAGAGACGCAGGCCCTGATCTACCCTTCCTCTTTCAAGGGACCGACATGGCTATTTGTTTTTATACAGAATCCCTAGTAGCCCTTGAAGACTAAGGGAATGGAGCAATCTTAATTTAAATTTTAATTTAATTTAATTTAATTTGAGACAGGGTCTCTGTCACTCAGACTGGAGTGCAATGGCACGATCACGGCTCACTGTAGCCTCAAACTCCCAGGTCCAAACGATCCATCCACTTAACCCTTCCCAGTAGCTGGGACTATAGGTCCATGCCACCACACCCAGCTAATTTTTTTTCCCCCCATAGGGATGGTCTTGAACCCTGGGCTCAAGCAATCCCCCCGCCTCGGCTTCCCAAAGTCCTTGGGATTACAGACATGAGCCACCACGCCTGGCCCTAGAGCAATTTCTAATGTAGAGCCTGACAGAGAGAGAACTGAATTGGGGAAGTGGGGAGGCAGGAAACATGAAACCCTGATTCCTAAAATACTTTCTGCGTGTCCTCTAGTCCTGGAAAATGAAATCTAGGGCTTGAATTTTTAGAGGAAGCCAGGTCGCTGTGTTTCAAGGTCGCTGGGACTGGTTGCTCCTGTGTTTCCATCTCTGGAGTTCCCTCGTGTCTGGCTGCTGCTCTCTGAACCTTCGCTTCACCTTGGGGGTGGCCTTCTTGGTCCTGTGGGGGATGCTGTTTGTCCCATTTCCTCACTGCCACCTCTCAGCATCATAGTGAGCTGAGTGCTGAGCCTTTGGGAGGAGCATTGCCAGTGTGGCCCTGGGCATGAGATCTGTCAGAGGGGTGGGCTTCCTTCCCTGTGTGGCTGAGACAGTCTAGTGGTGGCCTGGCCCAGAGCCAGGAGGATGGTGGTTAGAGAGGGGTAGCTCGCCTTTCCTCTGTCTGAATTCCAGTCTGGGAAGAGCTTCAGGAACAGTGCCTGCTTGGATCACCCTGGGACCTTTCCTTCTCTTTCCTGTGACTTTGGAGTCCTCTGAGAGATTTGACCTAAGGAATCAGTAGGTTGGAATCAAGGAATCCCAGAGCTGGAAGGGACTGTGTGTGGTTTTCTTGCCATCCTTGCCCCTGCCTTACAGATGCCAATCCAACCTGGTTAGTTCCAAAACCCAGTCCTGTGTCTGAAGGATACTAAGGAGCACACCACCTACATCCTGACCACCCATCTCCATGTCTGAAAATTCCCCACCTCCCAGAAGGTTCTGCCCTGACATTCCAGTTCAAGCTCAGTGGAAATGATGGGAATTTGGAACTTGAGGAACATAGTAGGGGTGATGGATCCATAAACATGTCAATTTTGAATAAAATATCTTAAGCCTGTGTTTGAGATATACACTGGTTGCTATTGGGAGCCAATAGCAAATAGCAAATTGGAACAATTTGAACCAAGTCACGGAGGTATCACATACGTGGTCATGAATGGTTGGAGGTGAGAGGGAGAGCAGGGCAGGAGAGAGTCTTATAGAGAAATCAGAGAGCCTTTGAAATATCTTAGGCAGGAAGCGAGGTGATCAGATTTACATTTTAGGAAGAGCCCTCAGGATGTTCTGTGAAAAAGCCTTGAAGAGGCCAAGGTTAGTAGGGGGAAGGACTATTAGGAGGCCATTGTAATAGCCCAAATGAGAGAAGATAAGGGCTTGAATTAGGGCAACCACAGTTAGGATAGAAGGAAAGATTAGCTTTGGGAAGTATTAAGGAGGAAAAGGTGGCAGGCCTTGGCAATTAGAGAGAGGGGTGAAAGGAAGGGGGACTCTAGGATGACTGCAGGATTTTTAGCTTGGGGGACTGGGTGGTGCCATTCACCACAATGGGGAACCAGGAGCAAGGAGCAGATTGTGGGGAGGAAAGAAGATGATAGTTGAGTTTTGGACATTTGGATTTTGAGATATGAGTGGGCATGTAAACTTGAAGGAGAGATACATATTTGGAATCATCAACATGTGAGTAGTATGGATAGGAAACAAGAATAGATGAGATTGCCCAAGCAGAGGGGGTAGAGTTAACAGTAAGCTGAGAATAGAATCCTGAGCCAACACCAACATTTCAGGGGTGGACAAAGGAAGAGGAAGACAAAGAAGGAGGAGATGGAGAACAAGAAAAAAATATCTTCATGAAAGCCAGCGGGAGAGGGTTTAAGGAAGAAGGGAATGGTTTGGAGAGCCAAATACAGCAGCAATGTCCAGGCAGGTGGAAATGGCTACGGAAATGGGCAGCCCAGGCATTGTTGCTGGAGCAGTTTTAGTGGGATGTGGGGGGCAGACACCAGATTACAATGAGTTAAAGAGTAAATGGGAAGGGAGAATTTGGAAACATCAGGTGTAGTCCATTCTCTGGAAGCTTGGCTGAGAATGGAAGGATGAACAGAGAGGACAAAAAGTCAAGGGGAGCCGGGCACGGTGGCTCACGCCTGTAATCCCAGCACTTTGGGGGGCCGAGGCGGGCGGATCACCTGAGGTCGGGAGTTCGCGACTAGCCTGACCAACATGATGAAACTCTGTCTCTACTAAAAATACAAAATTAGCTGCGCGTGGTGGCGCATGCCTGCAATCCCAACTACTCGGGAGGCTGAGGCAGGAGAATCGCTTGAACCCGGGAGGCGGAGCTTGCGGTGAGCCGAGATCGCGCCATTGCACTCCAGCTTGGGCAGCAAGAGCGAAACTCCATCTCAAAAAAAAAAAAAAAAAAAGTCAAGGGGAGGTGTTTAGGGTTCGGAGTTTTTCCTTTCTTGTTAAGATTAGGTGAAGCATGTTTATGTGCTGAAGAGAAAAACCATGTTAAGGAGAAGAGATTGAAGATACAGGAGAGGGAAGGGAAATCCATGGAGCATTATCCTAGAGATGAAGTGGATGGGGCAAGAGCAGAAGAGGATTGTGCCTCAGCAGGAGGCAGGAATCTGCTTCCCCTGGGCCAAAAGGAAGAAAGTGAAGCTGAGTGCAAGTATGCATAAGTGGGTGTTGGAAGAGAGGCTTGAAGTTGAAAAAGATTATTTCCAATGGCCTGAATTTTCCTTCTCACAATAGTGCCTGCTAAGGCAAATCTTAATACTCTGCTTGTCCTAGCTCAGCGCTGAAAATACACAGTCATTCTCTGGATTAACATACTTAAGCCCAATCCAACTTTGAGCATTTATCTGGTATCTCCTATCTATAAGGCACTAGGCCCTCCTTTTCCTGGGACTAGTCTCCCAGCTCCAGGCAGCTAGGTTCTGGATATCTCCATCTGCTTATGCTACTCCTTTGAATTTCAAATAGCAAGACTCCCTCATACCCACTGTGGATAAAAAGTGATCTGTAAGGAGCTGTGGAAAGGCAGAGAAATTAAGTTAACAGTGAACTGCTTTAGATACTCTGAGGCTGGGCTTGGGCCGGTCTGTCCTTGGTGAACTAATTCCTAAGTGCAATAGTTGTCAGATTCACTGAGCCAGAACCCTTCAGACCAGGGTCCTGTGCCTATACCTGACAGATGTACCAGGGTCCTGGGAGGGCACCCCAGGGTAAGGGATACCTTTGTCCTAACTTATTTTGAATCTAAGCAACTTGCCACCCAAGAGTCTATCTGAGCCTTTTTCCTATTGATGTTTTCAACATTCTAATCATGAGGTGTAATTTCATGTTTGTTACCTGTTGGGTGAAGCAGTACAATAGAATGAACATTTTCTGATAATTTTTATGAAACTGTCAACCTCTTGGCTGCTGATGCTAAGAGTCAGAAGTGACTACTTCACACTGGTCTCCCCCAACCTAATCACAAACACACATTCATAGATCCACAGTTCTGAGGTTGGGCTACACATTAGAATCTCCTGGGGAGTTTTTAAAAAATACCATTACCCTACCACAGAGCAATTAAATCAGAATCTCTTGAGAGTATTCAGGCTTCAGTACTTTGTTTTTTTTAGACAGAGTTTTGGTCTTGTTGCCCAAGCTGGAGTGAAATGATGCACTCTCAGCTCACTGCAACCTCCGCCTCCCGGGTTCAAGTGATTCTCCTGCCTCAGCCTCCTGAGTAGCTGGGATTATAGACGTGTGCCACCACGCCTGGCTAATTTTTTGTATTTTTAGTAGAAACGAGGTTTCACCATGTTAGCCAGGCTGGTCTCGAACTCCTGACCTCAGGTGATCCGTCCACCTCAGCCTCCCAAAGTGCTGGGATTATAGGCGTGAGCCACCGTATCCGGCCGGGCTTCGGTACTTTTTAAAACTTCCCCCAGTCGGGCCGGGTGCGGTGGCTCACGCCTGTAATCCCAGAACTTTGGGAGGCCGAGCTGGGTGGATCACGAGGTCAGGAGATCAAGACCATCCTGGCTAACACGGTGAAACCCCATCTCTACTAAAAATACAACAAATTAGCCGGGTGTGGTGGCGGGTGCCTGTAGTCCCAGCTACTCGGGAGGCTGAGGCAGGAGAATGGCATGAACCTGGGAGGTGGAGCTTGCAGTGAGCCGAGATCCTGCCACTGCACTCCAGCCTGGGCGACAGAGTGAGACTCCGTCTCAAAAAAAAAAAAAAAGTTCCCCCAGTGTTGCTAATGTTGCAGCTGGGGTTGAGAACCACTGGGCCAGACTGACCTTGTCGTTACCACCATTTGTTGAATGCTTCTCAACTCTGTTCACGTCATGGCTTCTAGAGAAAAGGATACCACCGCTGAAGTAAGTGGAAGCACTGGCCTGGAGATCCAGTGTGGCTTCCTGAGGGCTGGGGGAAAAAAAAAAATCAATATTTTGGCACACCTGTAAGACATCAGGTAGCCGGGTCTCACCTGTTGGCAAGCTTTGTTTTATTTTATATATTGGTGTATTTTGGGAGGATCCTAGTGCAAGCTGAGTAATTACAAGGTCCGTTTCACAGGGTTCTCTTGTACTTTTCATTTATAGTTTTATTGAGGTGTAATTGACATATAATAAAATATACAGATTGAAAGTGTGTAATTTGATAAGTTTTGACATGTGAGAATACCAGTGAAGCCATCATGTGAGAATACCAGTGAAGCCATCATGTGAGAATACCAGTGAAGCCATCATGTGAGAATACCAGTGAAGCCATCATGTGAGAATACCAGTGAAGCCATCATGTGAGAATACCAGTGAAGCCATCATGTGAGAATACCAGTGAAGCCATCATGTGAGAATACCAGTGAAGCCATCATGTGAGAATACCAGTGAAGCCATCATGTGAGAATACCAGTGAAGCCATCATGTGAGAATACCAGTGAAGCCATCATGTGAGAATACCAGTGAAGCCATCATGTGAGAATACCAGTGAAGCCATCATGTGAGAATACCAGTGAAGCCATCATGTGAGAATACCAGTGAAGCCATCATGTGAGAATACCAGTGAAGCCATCATGTGAGAATACCAGTGAAGCCATCATGTGAGAATACCAGTGAAGCCATCATGTGAGAATACCAGTGAAGCCATCATGTGAGAATACCAGTGAAGCCATCATGTGAGAATACCAGTGAAGCCATCATGTGAGAATACCAGTGAAGCCATCATGTGAGAATACCAGTGAAGCCATCATGTGAGAATACCAGTGAAGCCATCATGTGAGAATACCAGTGAAGCCATCATGTGAGAATACCAATGAAGCCATCATGTGAGAATACCAGTGAAGCCATGACCACAATCGAGATAATGAACATATTCATCACCTCCAAAGGTTCCCTTGTGTCCCGTTGTAATCCACCCCTCTTTCCACTCTGTCCCCCAGATACCGCTGATCTGCTTTCTGTCATTATAGATCAGTTTGCATTTTCCAGAATTTTATATAAATGGAATCATATGTACTCATACTGTTTTGTCTGGCATCTTTTACTCAGCAAAGCTATTTTAAGATTAGCCTTGTTATTGCATTTGTCAATAATTCATTCCTTTTTATTGCCAAGTAGTATTCAATTGTATAGACATCACATTTTTAAAAATCCATTCACTGTTGATGGACATTTTGGGATATTACAAATAAAGCTGCTGTGGATATTCATGAACAAGTCTTTGTGTAGACATATGCTTTTATTTTCCTTGGATAAGTAGGAGTGATAGTTGAATCCTGTGTTAGGTGTATGTTGACCTTTTTAAGAACCTGCCTGTTTTCCAAAGTGGTTGTACCATTTTACATTCCCCACCAGTAGTGTATGAGAGCTGTCCTCTTCAAATTGACTGGAGAAGCTTTGCTTCCATCTCTTCTTCTTGGCTAATAGAAGGTGCCTCTTGGCTGGGCGTGGTAGCTCACGCCTGTAATCCCAACACTTTGGGAGGCCTAGGCGGGTGGATCACCTGAGGTCAAGAGTTCGAAACCAGCCTGGCCAACATGACAAAACCCTGTCTCTACTAAAAATACAAAAATTAGCCGGGCGCAGTGGTGGGCGCCTGTAATCCCAGCTACTAGGGAGGCTGAGGCAGGAGAATCACTTGAACCTGGGAGGTGGAGGTTGCAGTGAGCCGAGATCGCACCATTGCATTCCAGCCTGGGTGACACAGCGAGACTCCATCTCAAAAAAAAAAAAAAAAAGGTGCCTCTCTCTCTTTTTGGGGCACAAATGACAGAGGTGAGTATAGGGATTAGGGCGCAGAGATGAGGCATGTAGAGATGAATGGATGGATAGTTGGATATAATAAATAGGTAAAGTTGTCTTGGTATCCCTTTTTTCCTCCATCTTCCTGTACATTCCATTAGTTGTACACAACGAAGAAGCAGGCACTGGCCCAGATAATATCACCTAAATTGGATTATTATGGATGATTAGTAAATCTCTCTTTGTGACTGATTGATATTTTTACCCCTCACCTGCAGGCGCCCAGACACCATGTCACAACCCTCCAGAACTGACGTTGGCAGGAAGTAGAGACTTTGTTGCCTGTGTCCCCCATCCTCACCATGTCTTCGACTCAGGGCAATGGGGAACACTGGAAGTCCCTGGAGTCAGTGGGCATCAGCCGCAAAGAGCTAGCGATGGCCGAAGCCCTGCAGATGGAGTATGATGCCCTGTCCCGGCTCCGGCATGACAAGGAGGAGAACAGAGCCAAGCAGAACGCAGACCCCTCTCTCATCAGCTGGGATGAGCCTGGGGTAGACTTTTACAGCAAGCCAGCAGGAAGGCGGACCGACCTCAAGCTGTTACGCGGTCTCTCTGGCTCTGATCCTACCCTTAACTACAACTCACTCTCCCCACAGGAAGGGCCGCCCAACCACTCTACCTCCCAAGGGCCACAGCCTGGCTCAGATCCCTGGCCCAAAGGCTCCCTGTCTGGAGACTATCTCTACATTTTTGATGGTTCAGATGGGGGAGTCTCTTCGTCCCCAGGACCAGGGGACATAGAGGGCTCTTGCAAGAAACTATCCCCACCTCCTCTGCCTCCCCGAGCTTCTATCTGGGATACCCCTCCCCTGCCTCCCAGAAAGGGGTCCCCCTCATCCTCCAAGATCTCCCAGCCCAGTGACATCAACACTTTCTCTTTGGTCGAACAATTGCCGGGCAAACTGCTAGAGCATCGGATCCTAGAAGAGGAAGAGGTGCTGGGAGGTGGGGGTCAGGGGCGCCTACTGGGGTCTGTGGACTATGATGGTATCAATGATGCAATTACTAGGCTCAACTTGAAATCGACCTATGATGCGGAGATGTTGCGGGATGCCACCAGGGGCTGGAAGGAGGGCCGAGGGCCGCTGGACTTCAGCAAAGACACCTCTGGAAAACCCGTGGCCAGGAGCAAGACTATGCCCCCTCAGGTGCCCCCCCGCACCTATGCCTCCCGCTATGGCAACCGAAAGAATGCGACGCCTGGCAAGAACCGCCGGATTTCTGCAGCCCCGGTGAGGACCTTCTTGTGTTTCTTCTGCCTTCCTTTCTCCATGTCCTTCAGAAACAGGGACTAGTCTCTGCTGTTCTACATCCAACTCTGCCAAGTCCTTACCCCTTTAGGCCTCTCCTACCCTCTTTGGGACCCTGGCCCTGGTGGGGGAGGTCCAGGGGAGGCTTGATTAGGGGTGGACACCAGTAGAGGGAGGGCTCCTTCTCAGGGCCAGGTTTCATGTATCTTGGCCAAAACGGGCCTTCTGGGGCAGGCATTTGGGAATCCTGGTTCCTAGCGTGTGCCTGCTTCCTGATGTAAGGACTGAATTGGGAGTTATGGGATTCATTATTGACTGGCTGAATGGCCCTCTGGACCGGAGCAAGTTGCTTCCGCTTGCTCTGAGGCCCTGCTCTGCCAAAAACGCTGCGTGGCGATGAAGATCATTCACAATAGTAACCACTTGTTTAGTGCCCACTGAATGCCAGACCCTGGTCCAGATCTCCACAACAACCCTTCCTGATAGTCCAAAGCCACACAGCAAGCAATAGCAGGGCCAGCATTCAGCCCTGGCCTCTCTCGTTCCTAAGCCTTCTGTCTCCTCCTCTCCTTCTCCCTTTCTCTCTCTCTCTCTCCCTGCTCTGTTCTTTATTGTGATAAAATATACGTAACGTAAAATTCGCCACCGTAACCATTTGGAAGTGTGCAGTCAGTGGCACTGACGACATTCACATTGTCGTGCAACCCTTGCATTATTCATCTCTACTCATTCTCTTCTCACAATGAAAATATTTAGAAAAAATATGCAGTATGACAAATAGTTTTATTTTTATCAGTACATAGTGTAAAATAGCGAACTATCTAGGTCAAAGCCCCCAGGCAGGTGCCAGGGCAGCTCTGATCTTTTTTCTGGTTTAGGGGAGCTTCAGCAGCATCTCCTGGGTAGGACCAGAAGGCCTATTTGTGTTTCATCCTTGGTCCCTGGAAACCCTGGCTGCAAGGAGTCAAGAGACAAGTGACACCCCCATGGCTGATGCCTTCTTTTTTTTTTTTTTTTTGAGACAGAGTCTCACTCTGTCACCAGGCTTTAGTGCAGTGGCGCTATCTTGGCTCACTGCAGCCTCTGCCTCCCGGGTTCAAGAGATTCTCCTGCCTCAGCCTCCCAAGTAGCTGGGATTACAGGCACCTGCCACCATGCCCAGCTAATTTTTGTATTTTTAGTAGAGACGGGGTTTCACCACATTGGCCAGGCTGGTCTTGAACTCCTGACCTCAGGTGATCTGTCCACTTTGGCCTCCCAAAGTTCTGGGATTACAGGTGTAAGCCAATGCCCCTGGCTGCTGATGCCTTCTGTGACAGCTTAGCATTCTACTTCATTCTGTCCTGGTTTCCTCCTTAGCCATTGTTTAAGGGGCACTGGGGTTTTCCCACCTTGTGTCTAGCCTTTGGGAACCTTCCCAACTCTGAAGAGCTACACAGTTCTTCCTTCCTCCGCTTCTCCTAAGAGAGTCCCCCCAAAAGCAGAATCAGCTCCTGGGATAAGCCACATCCCTAGAGCTCAGGGATTTTTAAAGGCCCTGCTCTGAGAGGTGGGGCTGTTCCCGCTATTTATAGGGACTGGGAGATTCCTGTTCCCAGCTCTGAGTTCCTCACACCCAGCTGGGCCTGCTCACTGAGTCAGGGCACCCTGGTAGGTGGTCACCTCTGTCACTCCTTCTCTCTCCTGCCTCCCCTACTCCCTCACCCTTCCCCATCCCCTGCATGTCATCAGAGTTCTGAGACAGAGCTCAGCCCAGAATCTCCTTGAAGAAGCGGACACAAAGCAAAAAGCTCTTGCCAGTTCTGAGTGGGGAAATGCGGCCTTGGTCCTCCCCGGCTCAGCTTGTTGCAGGGGCTCAGCCTGCTGGGAGGGGGGACCCCTTGGGCCCTCGGCCTATACCACCGCCCCGCTTTCGTCGGGCTTCCAGCCAGAGGGAACCTCCTTATCCCAGGCCAGCGGAGCCAGCTCTGGAACTGGCTGGCTCCAAATGCCAGCCTGATACCCCTGCTGCCAGCCTCTGCCCGGCAGACTCCCCCAGCCAGCATCGGGTGATGCCACCAGGGCCTGCCAGCTGGGCAAACGTAAGTGGCTTTTGTTTT
Organism: Homo sapiens; assembly: GCF_000001405.40. Taxonomy (NCBI): domain Eukaryota; kingdom Metazoa; phylum Chordata; class Mammalia; order Primates; family Hominidae; genus Homo; species Homo sapiens. The sequence goes on along the minus strand of NC_000001.11, from coordinate 204,466,752 downwards.
CTTATGGTGCCAGTGAGTGGTACAGAAAGGACATGAGAGTGGCCTTCAGTGACCACTCTGTTCTCTCCCTCTCTTGCCTTCTCTTCCCTCCCCCCACTGTCTCTCTCTCTTTCTCTTTTTCTTCCTCTCTCTCTCCTTTCTCTTGTGGGTTAATTGCTGACAGTGGTGCTATTGTTTTGACTGGGACACAGGCACGAACTTGGCAGAGCCAGGGCCTCACATGCCAACTGTCCCCACTGCTGCCCTCCCCTCTGTGCACCCCCACCCCCCGCCGCCCATGCACACCCAGGGGAGCAAGCCTAACAAGAGAGGGTCAACCAGAGGAAACAGTCTGGATATTCAAATGAGGAGCTCAGTTGCTGTCATCTGCCCCAAGAGGCAGAGAGGACTTGAGAGTAGCCAAGAGGTTGGGTGAGAGATGTGAGGCGTTGCTATGTGCACAGGCCGGAGCTAGACTCCCGCCAGAAACAGCTGTTGGAACCACATGCCGGCCTTATCTCCATCTGAGCTGAAGCCTCGTCCCTGGTGTGGCCTCCCAGGCTGCCCTGAGCAGACCCCTCAGGCAGAAACCTGTCATGCACCAGCTCTCCCTCCCCCTCACTTCCTTCTCCCTAGGGCTGGGCTACAGGCCTTGCTAGGGGCTTCTTTAGGAACCCTCCTGGGTGACTGAAAGCAGCTCTGGGATGGGAGACCGTTTGGGACCTTGTCTGAGAATCCTACCACCACACACGTATTTTGAGAGAGGAAGTGGGGCCAAGGCAGGCTCCCTGACATTCCGGCCGTTCAGAGCCGGCTGACTCGGAAGCCAGAGGAGCCAAGCTTCTACCAGGTCCTCCCCTGCCCAGACCACTGCTTTGACGCTTTCTTCCTCAAATAGCATTTACCCAGAAGGCACATGTGTCTGAGTCATCTCCTCTATCTAAGGGTTCTGGGTCTCTCTCTGCTTTGGGTCCATGGGGCTTGTGGATATTGAGGCTTTAGACCAGGGCCAAGCTTCCCTGGGCACCATTTGGGCCGCCCACCTGCTCTAGCCTCAGTAGAGGGGCTGGGAAAAACAGCTGTCTGCTCTGCTCCCTGTCACGCCTCTGGGAGAATCCCCCGGAAAGCCCGTGTTGCAGGAGAGGCCCAACAGCACTGGATTGCCTTACTGGCTGCCTCACGCTTATCAGACTGTCCCCTCCTGAAGTGGCTTTGGCCACACTCTTGTCCATCTCAGCCAGAGCTTCGCCTCCTTCTTCAACTTGGCTCCTGGTCTCCTAGGACAGCAGATACATGTATTCCCGGATGTCCCATATGTTCTTGTGCCCCTTTCATTGGATGTCGAGTGACTAGAAAGTCTTTTCATCTAGAGTTTGAGTTTAGGTCTGGAGTACCTCATAGGGAGGGGACACCACGAGGAAAAAGGCACTGAGTCGTCTGCTCTTCTCTTAAAGGTGGGCTCCCGGCCCCACACTGTTGCCAATGGCCATGAGTTGTTTGAGGTCTCAGAAGAGAGAGATGAGGAGGTTGCTGCATTTTGCCACATGCTGGATATGTAAGAGTTAAAGAATGGGGTGGGATTTGGGAGGGCTATGGGGGATGGGGAGGGGGGCCATCCATTTCCAAACTTTCTTTAGGAGGGAAGAAGCACCATAATAAGTAAATCTCAGTTCATAGCTATGAAAATGCTTCCTACAACAAGTGTCTGCAGGGTTTTTGAAATCTTAGAAGTCTCACATTTTTAGCAAAATTCATGAAACCTCCATTGAATGGTCAAAGTATCCTGATCACTCTAGAGTCTGACCCTCAGTTGCCCTTAAGAGCAAATGCACCCCAGCTGGCGATAAGAGTGTTATCTGGAACTAAAAGAGAAAGGAAATGGATTCATAAAAAATTTTCCATTAAACTTAGCATGGAAAGCTTTGTCATTTTAGAACTATTTGTACTGTTCAATGGTGGGAAACATTTTGCAATTATAAGAGAAGTGTCAAGAAGGGGGTTTCTCAGAGCTGCTACCCCACTGCCCCCATCCTGGCCTGCAAATTTGGAGGGCTGGGCTGAGTGGGGACAGAGGGGCTCTTGAGCCTCAGAGCATGAGGTTCCCAACAGATGTCTTCTTGACTACTCTCTTCTAAAGGCACAGTGAGGGTTTTTTTTCTTCCTGTACAGCCTTCGATCTGGCTCTGACATCCAAGACTACTTCCTCACTGGCTATGTCTGGAGTGCTGTCACCCCTAGCCCAGAGCACCTCGGGGATGAGGTCAACCTGAAGGTGACTGTGTTGTGTGACAGGCTTCAAGAGGCACTCACTTTCACCTGCAACTGTAAGTTAGTGAGGGGGGAGAGGATGTGAGCATCCCTTGAAGTGGGGTGGGGATGACTGTGTTTTGACTCGATTTCCACCTCATCTTGTGGCCCAGATGAAGGGCAGTGAGGATGCTCCTTTGGGGGTGAGGGGCTGGCTATGGGGCCAGCATTCTAGTACAGTCACTTTCCTCAACTCTGAACTACTTGCCTGCTTTATCTGGTTGGTGATGGTGCTGGAGAATACTTAGCTGGAAAGGGGGATCAGGGTGGGGAAACTGAGACCCATCTGCCTTGACATCCATCATGATTGCTCCCCCTACCTTACCCTTCACAGGTTCCTCCACTGTAGACTTGCTTATCTACCAGACCCTGTGCTACACCCATGATGACCTGAGGAATGTGGACGTGGGTGACTTTGTGCTAAAGCCCTGCGGGCTGGAGGAGTTCCTGCAGAAGTGAGTGAATGGGTGGGAGGTAGCCCCTGCCTTCCTGGTAGTAAGATTGTGAGGGGGCTTCATGGGATTGGTGCTGGGACCGGCCTGGCAGCTCCGCCCCAATCCCACAGTCAAGACTCCTGCTTTCTGGGCACACTCTCGGCCACGTAGCACTTTCCCCAGGAGCTCTGTCTTCCAGCAGGGTTGGCTGACGTCCTGAGCCAAGTCTGCTGTGGAAAGAGCTTGGAGCTGGGATTAGGCAAAGACTAGGTCATATCTGCTTGCAGATTCTGCTTATGGAGAGATGTGTGTATTTGTGGGGAGGGGTGGGCTTGGGGAGACTATATGGGTAGTGCTGTATCTCCTGCTCTAGATTATGTGTGGTGTTTTTATGGCTGGGGCAAAATGAGGACTGGGCAGAAGTTCCCTTGTGGAGCCCAGGGGAGAAATTACAATTACTGTCTCTCCCCATTCTCCTGCCAACAAGTCTTTTCCCCAGCTGGCCCGTGCAGCTAGTTATCCTCCTCCCAAAGGCGTGCCTCCAGCTCCTCTCCATCCAGTGCCCTCTCTGGAAAGCAGCCTCCCTGGAAAGTCTGATGTGGACCAGCTGAGGCAACCCCCTTTCCACTACCCTGGGCTCTGGAGGGCTGCAGTGGAAGAGAGGCAGGGGCAAGGTTATCACTTCTCAGATGGTACAGCTGTGTGACAGCAGACAGATAAGATCTGCTTTCCTCTCTTAGGCTTCAGAGCCGCTCCTGCCCCCAGTCTCTGTCCACTTGGAGGAAGCACGTTTTGGGAATAGAGAAAGGAGAGACCTGTGTCTCACTTCTTAGGAGTGCCCTATAAGTGCCACTGCTTGCTTTTTCTCTCTCTTACATTCAGGTCTAGATGCAAGGATGGTTGATCTATGTCTAGAGCATAAGATTTGGCAGTCAGGATGGAAGATTCATTTCTGGACTTCTTTCTTTTTTTGAGACAGAGTCTCACTCTGTCGTGCAGGCTGGAGTGCTGTGGCGCCATCTCACTCAGCTCACTGCAACCTCCGTCTCCCAGGCTCAAGCGATTCTCATGCCTCAGCCTCCTGAGTAGCTGGGATTACAGGCATAAGCACCACCACGCCCGGCTAATTTTTGTATTTTTTAATAGAGACTGGGTTTCACCATGTTGGCCAGGCTGGTCTCGAACTCCTGACCTCGGGTGATCTGCCCGCCTTGGCCTCCCAAAGTGCTGGGATTACAGGTGTGAGCCACTGTGCCCAGCTATCTGGGCTTATTTCAAATTTAAGGATATTGTGGGGTCCTTTCTGGCCTCTGCCTCCTCATCTCGAAGCTAAGGGAAAGGAAAGAGGCAGGGTTCTGTATGGTACAACTCCAGGGTACCCTTCAAATGTGCCCCACCTTTAAACTCACTTATGTACACACTTTTCCCCTAGAGGAACAGGAGGGGTCCTAGACTCAGGGTTGCCTGGCAGAGAGAGTGCCAGGTGGCCTGCCACTGTTAGAAGGGAAAAAGGGGACATAGTGGATAAGTTGGAGCTCCTGCTGACGCCATTACACAGGTTTGAATTCGGACTTGCCACTTACTAGTTGTGAAGGCTGATTGATGCTCAGGGCCCTCTGTAAGCTGCAGTGAGGGTGAAATGTGAGAATGACCTGTGAGCAATCAGTAAATACCAGCAGGGAAGGAGCAGCCCACGGAGAGAAGTCCTAGGGCTCTGGGCTGCACAGATACTGCCATTTCCCTTGCAGCACCCCAAATCCTGGAGCCCCTGGGTCCGGAGGTAGTGGGAGCTGTCAAGTTCTACCTTCCTGCTAAGACTCAGGTGAAATATTCTTAGTGAGGTGGGACAGGGTCAGCGGTCCTCAGATCACACCCCTCATACTCTCACTTGAATGCACAGAGAGGAAGGCCTTCCACAGAGAAGATCAAGCAAGTCCCCAGGGGACCTGTGTGCATGACTCCTGGCCTAGGAGCCCCACTCCCACCCAACAGAAAAGCACAATGCTGTCTCCTGGCCCAGCCCCCAGACCCCCAACACATGACAACTGCCTGGGATGGGGGTGGAAAGGACGCTCCGGGGGTTCCAGAAATCTGCTAGTTCCCAAGGAAGCCCTGAGATTTTCTACCCCTGCCTGGCAGGAGGGGCTGATACTGAGGGGGTGAGTGGGTTCAGGATGCAGGCTGCTCTCAGATAAGAACCTTGAGGCAGTCCCGTGGGAGGGTTGGGTTTCCTGCCACCTCCCCCAGCCCCACCACACTCTTCCTTCCTCCCAGGCTCTCCCACCAGGCCCAGCCCCACAGCCCAGCCTCACCACCTCCAGGTTTTGGCTGCACTTCAGTCTTAGATCTGAGAGGGTCTAGATCGGAGATTTGGTCCTCTCAGGATGTGGAGAACCCCTCACTCGAGCCCTCATGGGACCTAGACGACCCTGGGCCCTGCACCTCCGCCAGCTTTTACATATACTGCCCCCCTTATGCTCCTGTCCTCTCCTCTCCATTTCTGGCCTAGATTCCCAGCTCTGCTGAGGAAGGAAGTCCTTTTCCGGCTTCTGTTACCCAGCTGCTGAGGCCAGGCCCAGGCCTGCAGTGCTGGCCTGGAGGTAGTTCTCCCTCTGCCCCTCCTCTTGGGTTTCCTTGCTGTTGAAGGTGTGATTTGGGAGAGAGGAAGAGGTTGGATCGCCGAGGGCTCCTAGGCCTTCTCTCTGAAAGGGGGAGTCTCACACATGGGTGCTTGAGCAGGTGGGACTGGCATGCATTTGGGACTTTTCAAGAAGTCATAGAAATTTGTAAGGTTATTCACAAGCAGGCAGGGCCAACAGATGGAAGGCAGAAAAAGAAGTTGGGTGGGGACACTGATCTGGAGGCTTGGTAGGCTTGCCCCAAGTTTTTTTGGCCTCAGCACCCTAGTTGGTAGCATTGGAAGAGGGGTCTCTCGCTGAGCTCCCACCCTGGAGCCTGAGCACAGGTGGACTCCAACATGTCTCTTCCTGGTTGTCCCCTATACAGAGGCCCAGAAGATAGGGCTTCAGCAACTGCTCCCTGTGATGTGCCTCTGTTTCCCCGCTCTCTCCAACAGTTCCCAGCCCTGGAGTGAACCAGTGATTACCACACGGGTAATAAATATCTAAGAGAGTCAATATTTATACCGGCCAAGGATTAAGTATATTAGGTGGCTTTTGTTTAGATAGACCTCTGTTCCTTCTCCTAAGCTCTACCGTGTCATTTTCTAGGAGCCAAAGTAGGGTACAACACGGGTACTACCCCCTTACCTAAACCTTCTTTCTGTATGTCTCTCCCCAAGGCTAAGGTATGTATCTCCCTTGCCACTGAGTCCCCAGGATGCTAATGGTCTTGTCCCTCTACCCTACCAGCAAGCATGCCTTGGGCAGTCATGAGTACATCCAATACTGCCGCAAGTTTGACATTGACATTCGGCTACAGCTGATGGAGCAGAAGGTTGTGCGCAGTGACCTGGCCCGGACGGTTCGTGTGAGGGTGGTGGAGGGTTGCCCAGGGCTGGGGAGGTGGAATGGGAATACAATATAGAACACATCAGGTGGGAGGGGGGTAGGAGTGCTGAGCTGAGATAAGGGCACCGCCCCTCTCTGAATAGGTCACTTCTTATACAGGTGAATGATGACCAGAGCCCCTCCACCTTGAACTACCTCGTCCATCTCCAAGAGAGGCCTGTCAAGCAGACCATCAGCAGGTGAGTGTGGGCACCATCTTGGATGTGCTCCAAACAAGAACTGTGCAGGGATCCCATCAGATGTGCCTGCTTGCCTTTCTGTCAGGGCTAAGGGATTCTTGCAGGTGTCAGGGGTTGGGGCCCACACATCTTATCAGAGAAGATCCCCACTCCAGGCATGTTTCATTTCTTCCCTCTGGAACTTTGCCATCATTCTCTCCAGGCGAGAAGTGGCAGAATAGAAAGACTCTCCCTCTATATGTCTTCACAGGACATATAGAAAGAGTGGGAACTCCTTTAAATCAGAGTGTGAGCTGAGGAGAGGGAGGGAGAAAATGGGTTTCCCAGGGCACTGGGTCTTTCATGACCTCTCCTGTGGTTTTTCCCTGCCCCCAACTCCCAGGCAGGCCCTGAGTCTTCTGTTCGACACTTACCACAATGAGGTGGATGCCTTCCTGCTGGCTGATGTGAGTACGAATCCAGGGGCTGGCCCTGCTGCCCGAAAGCTCCTCCTCTCCCCTTCCTCAGTCCTCCTGGGATCACCCAGCACTATGAGGGGTCTGGGTGGAGCCTGAAAATCTGTTGGCAGAGCACTTCTTTTTAACCCCTCGCTCATGGGCAAACTAAGACTACTAGATGTTGGGCAACGGCAAGTGCGTAGTCAGGGATTCTGCTCCTCTATAGAAGAAGCAGGTCGGAAACTGCATGCTGGTCCCATTCTCTGGAATAGGATGTCTCCAGAGCTAAGGAACCTAGAGCTGTCACCCCCCAGCTGCTGCACTTGATGTACACTGGAGCATGCATCCTATGAGCAATGTCAGAAACCTCCAGTTTGAGAGGTTCTGTTTTGCTGTTATCGCAGGTAGGAAACCATCAGGAGGTAGAAGGTTTCACATGTAGGGAGGGCCAGAGCCCTCCCCACTTGGATTCATGCGGAGTCTCAAGCCTCAAAACCATGAGAGTCAACATTTGTCTTAAATGTCACAACGCCAAAGAAAATCTGACAGTGATCTTCAAAAATAATCCCTTGCTGAGTGTGATGGCCCACGCCTGTAATCCTAACCCTTTGGGAAACTGAGGTGGGAGAATTGCTTGAACCCCAAAGTTCAAGGCCAGCCTGGGCAACACAGCAAGACCCCATCTCTACAAAAAATACAAAAGTTAGCCAGGTATGGTGGCACACACCTGTAGCCCCAGCTACTCTGGAGGCTGAGGTGGGAGGATCGCTTGAGCCCAGGAGTTTGGGGCTGTGTAGTGAGCTATGATCACACCATTGCACTCCAGCCTGCGTGACAGAGTGAGACCCTATCTCAAAAAACAAAACAAAAACCAATCCCTGTCTCATTGATCCAGTTAATAGTAGTCATAAACGCTTCCTTTTTGAGGGGTTCAGCATTATGTCTAGTCACTGCCAGAATCCCTTCTCCAGCAGCCTGTGCTTGAACATTTCCAGTGATGCGGGGGAAGCTCTCTGAACACCTGTGCTGTGCTGTTCTGGCCCTTTGCTAGTGGCTACGATGGGTAGAGAAGTGTAAGAATCGTCATAGCCTTGGCCAGGTGCGGTGGCTCACGCCTGTAATCCCAGCACTTTGGGAGGCTGAGGTGGGCGGGTCACCTGAGGTCAGGAGTTCGAGACCAGCCTGGCCAACATGGTGAAGCCCCATCTCTACTAAAAATACAAAAATTAACTGGGTGTGGTTGCAGGCGCCTGTAATCCCAGCTATTCAGGAGGCTGAAGCAAGAGAATTGCTTGAACCCGGGAGGCAGAGGTTGCAGTGAGCCGAGATCGCGCCATTGCACTCTAGCCTGGGTGACAGAGCAAGACTCCGTCTCAAAAAAAAAAAAAAAAATTGTCATAGCCTTTGGGGAGCTTGTGTTCTTGTTAGAAAAATTGAATAGTAACACAAAGCTATTAGTAGACAGAACAGGATGGTAATAAATTAATTAAGGGCTCCTGGAGGATGCTAGAGGAAGGGGATTGGCCAGGGAGGGCTTTATGCAGGAGGTAGAATTTTAGCTGCTCTGTGATTTAAATGTACATAGGTAATCAGAGCTGGACAGGTGAGGGAATTCCAGGAGCATAATTCCAGAGGGGAGGTTATGGCTGTGGCATGTCTGTAGAAATGAGATGAGATCTGTCTGGAAATTCTACAGGTCTCTGGGAGAGACCCTGTATATATGTGTATAGTATAAGTAGACTAACTATAGAGAGAGGCTAGAGATAGGAGGAGCTTCAAGGGGAACGGCTGAAAGAATTGGGGCATGTGGGCATGGCCCATTGAATTCAGTGGGAGAGATTATTTGCTGATGATGAATATTTGAAAATAAAATGTATTGCACATTTACCCCTGAGGATCATGAATCTCTCTACTCTTCCCAACCCTTTCCTTTAAAGACTGGGGTGGGGAGGGGTTGGAGACCAAGAGCATGAGAGCAGAGCCTGCCAGCCTCACTGTGCCACCTCCCACAGGGAGACTTCCCACTGAAGGCTGACAGGGTGGTCCAGTCCGTCAAGGCCATCTGCAACGCCCTGGCCGCCGTGGAAACCCCTGAGATCACCAGTGCTCTCAACCAGCTGCCCCCCTGCCCCTCCCGCATGCAGCCTAAAATTCAGAAGGTAAAGGGGCCCAGGGTGCTAGCAGGGGAAAGGAAGAGAGGGATACTGTCAGGTAACTGAGTTGCCTGTTGCTAGAGTGTGTAGGTGTTCACTCACTAAAAAGGGGCTTCTCTCCACCTCCATCTTTTATGTTTAAGGAATTCAACCGCAAGAGCTCTTCAGAAATGGATGCCAAGTGTGTCTCCTCTTCCTGAGGTTGAGGGAGAGCTACCTGGGACTGCTTGTTGAGAGCCCAGGCCAGTAAAGGCTTTATTCACAGTCACCAAGGCATTGCCTGACAGTCTGCATATCCATCAGGGTGCAAAAACAAACCAGGAGGAAAATCTCTCTAGAGCCAGGGGCTCCAGGACTCCAGCAGGGGCTGTGTGCTCTGCAGACAGGGCCAGCACCATAGGCACTGTGATCTGCAGCCGAGTAGCCTGAGGGTTGGGATATCTCAGAAGGGTGGACCCGATGATTGCTATCCTCCGTCAGCTCACTCTGTCCATCATACAGATCTGGTACAAACCATTACTCTCTCCTCTCTGGGGATTCTCAGCTACTCACATTTCAGCCCATTCTGGTCCAGATGAGCGCAGCTGTGAAAAGCCCTTCTTCCAGCTGTGACGAAAAAGGCTATGGCCCTGAAGCTCCCCTCCCTCTTCTTTTTCCCAACAGGATCCCAGTGTCTTGGCTGTGAGGGAAAACCGAGGTAAGGGAACTGCTCTCCATCTTCATCCAGTCGGGCTGCCGAAAACTGCAGTCTCTGCCCCGATTCCTTTTTCTGCCTGGGCCCCTTGATTTATGTGTCGGAGTTCGGCTGGTGTGTGTGTGTGTGTGGGTGTGTGTGTGTGTGTGTGTGTGTGTGTGTGTGTTCCTATATGAGGTGTGGATACAGCTGGAGAGCACATTTCTTTCCACAAAGTGTTTTCTTATTATTTTTCCTAGTCATTCCTCCTGGTGTCCCTGGGAGATGATGATGAGGGGGTAGAAGTGTGGGAGTGGGGTGGTGGGGCAGCACTAGCCCTGTGATCCAGATGGGAAGCCTCCCACTTGGGTAGATTGTGATTATTCTCCCAACAGCTCACACTTGCTACCTTTCCGATTTAGAGTGGGCCTTGGGAGAGGATGAGAAAGAATTTTCCCTACGATTTTTCTAGGATTCCCCTGTTGTGCCCTTCAAGCTGAACTTTGCCCTAAGACTGACCTATATCCCTGGGATTCCTTTGTTTTGGTTTTGTTTTTTGTTTTGGCATCCCTGGGATTCTTATGGTGATTCCCAGTCTTTTGGATTTCATAGACCAGTAAAATGTCCCCCAAAGTATTTGGGGGACCAAGAGAGAATTGGCAGCCTTTTACTTGGCCAAACTTTTTTGACTTTTGCTTTTTTGAAGCAACTGACAATAATTATTAACACTGTTTCCTAAAAGAAAGGACATTTTAATGCTAAGTAGCAATACGTAAAAATAAGGATTATGTTTAACATTGTATAACTGTCATTTTATGAAAAGCTCATGACATGCTTCTGCTTTTTTCTCATTTTACCGCAGATGGGTGAACTTTGTCACAGCTATTAGAGACTGACTAGCATTTGGGGACCACTGTCTTAGGCCATCCCATTCTAGCCAATGCCATGGCAACAAGGTAGGGCTTGTGGAGGCCTCATGACTTTCCCTTCTGACCCCTTCCCTTCCCAGAGAAGGTCGTGGAAGCCCTGACCGCTGCCATCTTGGACCTGGTGGAGCTGTACTGCAACACATTCAACGCAGACTTCCAGACGGCAGTGCCCGGGAGCCGCAAGCATGACCTGGTCCAGGAGGCCTGCCATTTCGCCAGGTCCCTGGCCTTCACTGTCTATGCCACCCACCGCATCCCCATCATCTGGGCTACCAGGTGAGCCCAGGGCTGAGTAGCCGCTAGGGAGCAAGCTGAGTTTGACCTCCACCAGGGCTTTTTCCTATCTGCATGTAATACCACTGTCCTAAGTCTTAGGATGTGTGGCATTGTGTGACATTGTGGTGCAATGGGGCTGCGGGGGTGAGCCAAGTGCCTGAGGAGGACTTGGGCTGGGGACATCCTAGAGGAGAGAGGAGGTCCCTTAGGAGATGAAGAAGATCCTGTTATTCCCTCTTGGTGCTGGCTGCCTCTGCATCCCTGCCCCCTCCAGATCCAAGACCAGTGGAAGGAGACATGGCAACAGATGGCCGATTCCCAGATAGAGTGCACGCTCCCTGGCCAGTGGGAGGGGGTGGGGAGGTGGGATTGACCCTTTGTCTGGGGTTCTCTAGGCCTGCAGGGGTGGGTGGAGGAGGATGTTCTTTTGGTAAAATCCTCAGCGCCTCTGTTGGGTCCCCAGCATCCAAGGCCTGAGGGAATAGGCACTGGGCCCTACCCCGCCCCTGCCGGTCCCCTTTCCCCAACCCCCTTCCCCTTCTCTCTTTGTTCCTTACTTAATGTATTCCTCTGGGCGATTGGCAGAGAACAAAGGAGGCAGCCTGGGAAACCGGGGCCTTCTCTGACCTCTTCTGTCAGGCACCTGTCATGAGCCACAGGGACCCCCGTGTGTTGGCATTCATGTCGGCATATGTCGTCTTCCTCCCCCACCCTTCTCACTTGCGCATGCACGTGCACGCGCACACACGCACGCACACACAGACGCTCCATGGGCTGGAGCTTTCTATAAAGAGGCTGGGTGGCCAGTTCCCATTAAAGGAAGAAAAACAACAAGGCTCAGAATGGAGCCTAAAACCGAGCAGAGGAATCTAGATTGAGTTGCTTTGGCCTGAGCACATTTCCTTACATCCAGTTTGGCTGTCCTATCCGGAGATCCTGTGTTACAGCCCTCAGAGACTGAGAGTTTTACCAGGGGAAATGGATTTTGGCCTTAGAGGGACGCATAGGTTTGGGTGATTGGTTTTGGGAGCTGGGTGTCCTGACCTGCTCCCTTTCTTTTATAGCTATGAAGATTTCTACCTCTCCTGCTCCCTCAGCCATGGCGGCAAGGAGCTGTGCAGCCCCCTGCAGACCCGAAGAGCTCACTTCTCCAAGTACCTCTTCCACCTCATCGTCTGGGACCAGCAGTAAGCCCTTCCCCCAGGCTTCAGTGCCCAGGCCACTGTAGACCTGCTCAGCCTCTGAAATATCCCTGGGGCCAGATAACTAGTCCAGGACTAATGATAAAACCAGGCTCCTTGTTAACCCTAACTGGACAAGTCATTCAACCTCTTGAGTCTCCACTTCCCTGACTCTTTTTTTTTTTTTTTTTTTGAGAGGCAGCCTCGCTTTGTTGCCCAAGCTGGAGTGCAGTGGTGCGATCTCGGCTCACTGCAAGCTCTGCCTCCTGGGTTCACGCCATTCTTCTGTCTCAGCCTCCCGAGTAGCTGGGACTACAGGCGCCCGCCACCACGCCCAGCTAATTTTTTGTATTTTTAGCAGAGATGGGGTTTCCATGTGTTAGCTAGGATAGTCTCGATCTCCTGACCTCGTGATCTGCCCGCCTCGGCCTCCCAGAGTGCTGGGATTACAGGCGTGAGCCACCACGCCTGGCCTCCACTTCCCTGACTCTTAAAGGAGCCAAGTATAATTACCACTTCTCAAGTTGTCATGAGGATCCAATGAGAAGTATCTATAAAGGCTCTTTGTAAACCATAAAAAACATATAAATTTTAGTTGTTGACCAGGCGCGGTGGCTTACGCTTGTAATCCCAGCGCTTTGGGAGGCCGAGGCGGGCGGATCACCTGAGGCAGGGAGTTCAAGACCAGCCTGACCAACATGGAGAAACCTCGTCTCTACTAAAAAAAATACAAAATAGCCGGGCATGGTGGCGCATGCCTGTAATCCCAGCTACTAGGGAGGCTGAGGCAGGAGAATCGCTTGAACCCGGGAGGTGGAGGTTGTAGTGAGCTGAGATCGTGCCATTGCACTCCAGCCTGGGCAACAAGAGCGAAATTCTGTCTCAAAAAAAAAAAAATTAAATGTTAGTTGTTAATTTTAATAATACTTTATTTTTTGATCTTGTCTCCCTTAAAGAGTTTAACTAGTTGGAGGGCTTCTCATCCTCTCCCTTCTTCCCTCAGTTCCTGTAGACTATGGAGAGGAGACTGTGCTTTTCCCTTTATATATAGAGAAGGGAGGGTTGTCTAGAGAAAGAATATTGAGCTTGGATTCCCAGGAGTGAGCCTCTATTTCTAGCTCTGTCTCGAATACTACTTTCTCTCTATTCTTTCTGTGCCTCATTTTTTCAAACTGAGAAATGGGGACATTGGTTTCACTCAGAGGCAGTTATGGCGTCGAGATGAGATAGGTGGGTTATAAATATAAATATGAAACCAAAAGCACAAGGTAATATTAATCACCACATGTAAACAATAATTTGGTGTCGGGAAGGTAGGCGTCAGCCAAGCAAAGCAGGAAGGAAACGGAGGAGAGGGTGCCTTGCTTGAATGGGGGCACCGCAGGGGTTTTCCTGCCCTGTGCTTCATCTGTGCTATGCTCTACCTTCCTTCCAGTCAGTCAGAAAATCCCCTGTTTGCTGCCCCCGGCTTTGCTTCCCCACACTGACTATATTAGAGTCCTCATTTGCAGAGCAGCACTGCAAGCTAAGTATTTGTAGCACAGATTAAAGAGACTGAGGAGGGTCCTGGGGAGGCCGAGGATGCAAAATAGGTAGATGAAGAATCTGGAGATGCTGGAAGAGGTGGGTCCTTTTACAGATGGACAACTGGGAAAATGGACCCTTTCTCATGCCCTTCACACTTAGGTAATTCTTAGAGCAATAAAGGTGTATATGGCTGGGCACGATGGCTCACACCTGTAGTCTCACCGTACTTTGGGAGGACAAGGCGGGATAATCACTTGAGATCAGGAATTTGAGACCAGCCTGGGCAACACAAAGAGGCCTTATCTCTACTAAAAAATTATTTTAAATGAGCTGAGTGTGGTGGCGTGCATCTGTAGTCCTAGCTACTTAAGAGGCTGAGGTGGGAGAGTCACTTGAGCCTGGGAGGTCGAGGCTGCAGTGAGCCATGATCACACCACTGCACTATAGCCTGGGCAACAGAGTGAGACCCTATCTTAAAAAAAAAAAAAAAAAAAAAGGACATGGGGTGTGCATTAAAGGTCCTCAAGCAAACAACTGCCAGGACAGGAGAAACTCCTTGCAGGCAGAGGATAGCTGCATTAAATGGCCCTTGAGTTCCACCATTCCCTTGGGATTTTTTGGTCACAATTACTGCTGCTGTCAAGAGAAGGGGTGCCAGCCTGGGCAACAAGGGAGACCCAATCTCTACAAAAAATACAAAAAATTAGCCAAGTGTGGTGGCATACACCTGTGGTTCCAGCTACTTAGGAGGCTGAGGTGGGAGAATCACTTGAGCCTGGGAGGTCAAGGCTGCAGTGAGTATCCAGCCTCGGCAACAGAGCGAGACCCTGTCTCAAAAAAAAAAAAAAAAAAAAAAAAAGGGTGCTGCACAGTGTTCTGGCCCAGGAGGAACTTTAAAAAATTGGCCTTAAACCCTTTACTCATACAGTATCAGAGGTAGAGAGGCAGCCCAGCCTGCCCCATGAGTTTCATTTTGTTCCCTGAGATCCCCACCTTGAATTTTAAAGGGGCAGTCCCCTGCCTAGCGCCTTGTGAAGGGCACTATCTTGCACTGTCCATCCAGAAGCCCCGAATGAGACTTCTTGGCCCTTCATGGTCAAGACCAGGACATTTGGGGGAAGGCGTGCCAGCGTTCAGAGGACAGTCTTTGGGCCAGTCATTCTCTCCTTCCTACTGTAGTTGCAGCCTGGGGCAGGTCTTTCAACCTAGAATGGTAGCGATAATAGGGCCTACCCTACAGGATTGTTTGAGGAGCAGTTAGGACACTGTAAATAAAGTACTTGGCACAGGCTTCTTAGCTGGGGAGCCCTCTTGGTTTTGGTTTCTCTGTTCCAAGTGACTGACAGACTGGCTGATACATGGGGATACGTGCGCATGAAAATACTATCTGTATAAGCCAGTGCCAGTGCAGTAACCACAGCATCACATAGCAAAAAGTACACAGTCTGCACACACATCATGCAAGTGAAGCTATGTTCCCCTTTTCCCTGATGAGAAACTGAGGCACAGAGATGGGAATTAAGTTGCCCAGGATTGTGAGTGGCAGAACCGGGACTGGAGCCAACCAGCACATTCCAGGAATCCTTCCTGGAGGAGGCAGCCTGTGTGATATGAGGTTGTTGAATGGGCTGCAGGAAGGAGAGGGGCTTCTCAGGGAGGAAGGTAAGGGCTGCAGCCAACATAATGGTTATCCTGACCAGCCCTGGGTGAAGATCTGTGGGAGAGGTTGTGGAATACCAGATATACCCAAGGACTGAAGGGAAGAGGGCCTTGGCTGGCTCTGGTTTCACTCATAAAGTCTTCTCACTCCCCTTTTCCTTAAGACACGAAGCTGGAAGCTTCTTCCTTGGGTGAAAAGAAAGGGCTCAGGACCAGCTCCCTCTCCCCTTTGCTATGGGGTCAGCTGATTCTCTGCCCCACTGTAGCGGTCCAGGGATCAGCTAACTCTCAAAATAGGCTCAGCAGCCGTGCTTTGTCACCTCCAGCCAAGCCCTGGCCTGGCATGTCTGCTGGCTGCTGGAGGGGCCCTAATTATAGCTGTGGGCCCCCAGGGTAGAGGCAGCTGGGACAGAGCAGGGCTCTGCCAGTCTGTGGTGGGCTGGAGGGAGTGCCTCACTTAGGTGGAGATTCCTCTGGAGGACAGCGGTGGAGGCAGGCTGCTTTATCATGAAACTGCCAACCTTGGGGGTGGCCGCCCTGCCTCTGCGCCCTCTGGCATAGAAGTTGCTGGGCCCTGGGCTGGCCAGGAGGGTGTGACAGTATGGACTTTGGCCCAGGGACAGCTTCCCCGAAAGGTAACGTGGGTCCTCCCTGCCTTTCCACAGCTCCCCTCCCCTGTGTACTTCACCCCACCCAGCAGTTCCTTATCCTGAGCTTAGAGGGAGTGGCTAGGTGTGATTCAGACTGAGGGACCTGGAGAGAACTTATGGGCTTGAATAGTGGTGGGGCTTATGTGTCTCAGTTCTCTTGGCCCTGCCATTGGCTTTCTCACCACTGGGGTACTTGGAGAAACCCCTCCTCTTTGTCCCTTTGGCTTTGAAGCTGTTTGGGGGTGGGGGTGAGAAAAACCCAGTGTGTGTCCCTGGGGCTAGGTGAAGGGGACTCCTATGAGGACAAGTGAGAGGGCTGTGGGGGAGGGTGAACCGAGGGCAGAGAACATGGTGCTTCTTCCTGGTGGCTCTCAGCAGCAAGAAGTGGGGGAGGGATGGAGACTGTCAAATGGAAAAGGAGGACAAAAGGAGTAGCTTTGCGGACCCTCTGCGGAAATCCTAAAACAAGGAAAGGAGCAAGGCTGACAACATGGGACGTGTCATCACCTGAACTCCGAGGTGGCTCTGCTAAGCAAGTTCTGTCCAGGCACCACGGGTAGCTTCAAAATCGGGATGTTCGCCTCACTCTACTGCAAAGCTCCAAGGACACCACATTGTGCTTCTGGGAACATCCAGTGGGGGTTTTGCCTAGTTTGGGACCTCTCCTGGTTCTGCAGGAGGAGGGCTTCCTCAGGGAGTATGTCTGAACCCTGAGAGGGAGGCTGTATCCTCAGCCTCAGCCTCAGCCTGACTTCCTGGGCCACCTGTTGCTTGAAGCCACAGGAGTGGCCCCTCCTAATTTGACTTCCTGTCCTCCATAGGATCTGCTTCCCAGTGCAGGTGAACCGGCTGCCTCGGGAGACACTGCTGTGTGCCACTCTCTATGCTCTGCCCATCCCCCCACCGGGGAGCTCCTCAGAGGCCAATAAGCAGCGGCGGGTGCCTGAAGCCCTGGGCTGGGTCACTACCCCACTCTTCAACTTCAGGCAGTATGTGAGCCCCAGGGTACAGCTTCTTGGCCTTGGAAGGGGAGGAGGGGGACAGAGAAAGGGGCCTGGCTGCTGCACTGGCCAGTGCGCCTTGGGAGAGTTGGCCATGTGGGGCTCACTGGTGAAGTCCAGAGGATCCCCAAGCACAGAACTGGTGACCAGGACTATTGATGTAACCAAGAGCCACTGAGCGGTTCTGGTGGCACAGGACCATGTTAAGGATACATGGAAAAGCAATGCTTGGGTAATAGATCATCTGGTCTTGTCATTGGAAGAACCTTAGAGGTCATCTAGCCCAGCCTCCCCACCTCATGAAGGCATCCCTGCCACCAGGTCATCCAGACCAGGGTGTGGTTAGCTCACAAGTCCTCTTGGAGGGCGTAAGCTTTTACAGGACTTGGGAGAAGGAAGAGGCTATGGTCCACGGTGAGAATGAGAGGGGAGTTGGATGATGGCTTCAAACAGAAAAGGCAGATTTTTGGATTGGGGGAGCAGTAGAAATATTCTCTGCTTAGCCACTTTAGCAGCTCTTCCCACTCTCCCTCCTTCTTAGGGTCCTGACCTGTGGCCGGAAGCTTCTGGGTTTGTGGCCAGCAACACAGGAAAATCCCAGCGCCCGTTGGAGTGCACCTAATTTCCACCAGCCAGACAGTGTCATCCTGCAGGTGAGGCTTTAGCCCTTCCCTCCCAGTCACCAGCAAGACCATTCCAGTCAACTCTACATTTTTCTCCTGGAGATTTGGGCTGGGACAGCAGGAGAGAGTGCTAGAACTTCAAGCATGGGAGGATGATGTGACTGAAGCAACTGAGGGAATATGGTTAGATGTGGATTGTGAGGTGAGCTCTGGGGTATCCATCTCCCATCTCCTGGAGGTTAAATTGATTTCGTGGAGCCTGAAGATGGGGTCTGAGACCCTCTGCATTCAGGGCTCAGCTTCTGAGTCCCTTGTATTGAATCTTCATACGTCTAAGTCTGATCAAACCTGACCTGGGTCCTCTTGGGGCCTGAGGGGACACCTTTGCCCCTGCCAGTGACTCAGTGCTTTGGCAGGATGGACCTATTCTCCAGGGAGAAGAGGAGGAGCTGGTCACGCCCAAGGTGCACTTCTCAGTTCCCAGCTTCCCCTTCTTGTGGTTATGAGATACTTTGGTATGGAGTATGAATGTTGACATAGAATGAAAGCTCCCTGAGGCAGGTTTTTTTTTTTTTTTTTTTGAGACAGGATCTCTGTCACCCAGGCTGGAATGCAATGGCACAATCTTGGCTCACTGCAACCTCTGCCTCCCAGGCACAAATCATCCTCCCACTTCAGCCTCCCGAGTAGATGAGACTACAGGCGCACACCACCACGCCCGGCTAATTTTTGTCTGTCTTATTTGCTGCTTTATGCCCAGACTCTAGAAAATGCCTGGCACATGTTAGGATTCAATAGATATTTGTTGAATGAGGCTGGGTGTGGTGGCTCATGCCTGCAATCCCAGCACTTTGGGAGGCTGAGGCAGGGGGATCACTTGAGGTCAGGAGTGGCCAACATGGTGATACCCTGTCTCTACTAGAAATACAAAAATTAGCTGGGTGTGGTGGCGGGTGCCTGTAAATCCCAGGTACTCAGGAAGCTGAGGCATGAGAACCACTTGAACCGGGGAGGCAGAGGTTGCACTGAGCCGAGATCACACCCCTGCACTCCAGCCTGGGTGACAGAGCAAGACTCTGTCTCAAAATAAATAAATAAATGAATAAATAAATAAGTTTTTTGAATGAAAGAAAGTAGACCTCCTTTGGAGACTTGGCTCACTCAGCTCTGATACTTTAGTAGGATGAACATCTGGTGGCATAGAGTAGGGACCGAGTGTCCCAGGGCCTTCTCCCAGTGTGTGGTCTTGCCTCCCCTCTGGCAGCAGTGTCCTCTGGCACCCCATGGAAGTCACCCCGGACTCAGCCTGGATGCACCCCGTGTTTCAGCTGGGTGACACCTCTGTTCAGAGTTCTGGCTGGGGCTTGTCCCCTCACCCCTCACCAAGGTGCATCTCCACCGAACCTCTTCCTCACATGTCCATTCTTTTTCTCTTTTTGTTTCCCTCTCATTTTTTGCTGAGAGTTATAGCTGGAAAGGACTTTAGAGATCACCAAGTCTAACAGGGCTATTTTACAAAGAACCTGAGGGAAAGTGAGGGAGGGACAAGGCCGGAATGCTGGGGTGAGAGAAAGAAGCTGGGAGTCCACACACGCTGCCTGTTTTCTCTCCTCACATCCCTGATCTCATCCCCCAGATTGACTTCCCCACCTCGGCCTTTGACATCAAGTTCACCAGCCCCCCTGGAGACAAGTTCAGCCCCCGCTATGAGTTTGGCAGCCTCCGGGAAGAAGACCAGCGCAAGCTTAAAGACATCATGCAGAAAGAGTCCTTGTACTGGTGAGACCCGGGCCCCCACTGAATCTGTCATGTTTCATCTGACCTCCCAGCACTGAGTCTCCGTCCTCCTGCTTTGGGAGTGGAGGTGGGAAGGGGTGGGCATTGCCATCTCAGCAGGAAGTGGAGGCAGCCCCCAGGCCTTTCTCCATCAGCTGACACTAGGAAAAGTGGAGAGGTCAAGGTCAGGAAATTAGATCTGAGAATACCCAAGTCCCCACCCCAGGGACTTGGTCCAGACTCAGCTACCCAGGAGGACCAGAGCTCTGCCCCACATCCCAGATGTGCTATCTACTACCTTCTGTCCACTGGGGCAGCTGGCCCCACCACCCTGCCCCCACCTCTTGCTCTCACCTCCTGCCCCTTCCACACCAACAGCCTTTGAATTTTTCTGGCCCTGTCACTTTCCAAAAAGGATCAGGTGTCAAGGCAAGCTGGCAGCTCTCAGGGGTACGTGAGTCCAGGCTGATCTCATCCTTGGGGCTGCTGCTTTCACAGGATTGGAGAAGGAGGGGTGAGAACAGAACTGGAGGAGCTGGAGGGACCTGGTTCCGCTGTCTGCTCTCTGTTTACCTCTCTGGCTCCTGCGCAGCCCTGTGCGTGTGTTGTGTGTGTGGGGGCATGAGAGAGATGGGGCTCATCTCTGTCCCTGATGTCCACCCCAAGTAGCTGGAGTAGCTGAGCGACCGCAGACCTCCCTTCCCCCACTCTGCCGACTACACTTCATTAGACCCTCAGCTCCCTTCTCCCATTAGACACCTGATCTCAGGCAAGGCCCAATTAGCTGCAGGTCCTTGAAAGCCGACAGCTGGTCCCTGGAGGCCCCAGGAGGCCTCTCAGCAGCACAGACCCTGGTGTTGGGGGACCACTGCCCTCTGGTGGTTCTATTGAGCGTGGTGCCCTCAGGGCATCCGCAGGAGGGGTAGCAGATTCGGTGCCCTTGGCCCATGCATTCTCCATCCAAGATGTCCCTGAGTTGGGATCAAAGATAGGATTTGGGCTCTGGTTCCCAAACTTTGATTCATATTGGAATCACCTGGTGATCTGTGGCATAGACTGATGCCTGGCTTCCCCAGCCATTTGGACTTAACTGGTATCAGGTGTGACCCAGGCATGGCGAGGGGGTTCACTCAGCCCCTCAAGTGGGTGTCATATGCAGCAAAGCTTGGGAACCGCTGAATTGCAGTGTGTGCAGCACTCCCTTGAGGGTAAGGGCTGCACCCCCTGGCTGATGCTGTTCTCTCTCACTGCCCCCTACCCTCCCACCACCTTCTCCTTTCCGTGTGCCCACCAGGCTCACTGATGCTGACAAGAAGCGCCTGTGGGAGAAGCGATATTACTGCCACTCGGAGGTGAGCTCGCTCCCCCTGGTGCTCGCCAGCGCCCCCAGCTGGGAGTGGGCTTGCCTGCCTGACATCTATGTTCTCCTGAAGCAGTGGACCCACATGAACCACCAGGATGCCCTGGGGCTCCTGCATGCCACGTGAGTTGTAACATCTGCCTTTTCTGACTATGTGTTCTTGTAGAAGCCAGGGCACGACACTGCCCATCAGTGATCTGAGCCAGCCCTGGGGAAAATGGTAAAGTGGGTGTGGATATTCAGGGATTTTCCATTTCTCCTTTTTGCTTTTTCTTTCTCATTTTCCCTTCAATGTTATATTGTCATTTTTCAAACATACAACAAAATTGAAAATTGTACAGTGAATACCCATGTGCCTACCACCTAGATTCTATTGTTAGCATTTGCTCTGTGTGCTGGATTGTGTACATTTCATTTATCCATCACTGTATCCATCCATCTATCCATCTTATTTTTTATGCTTTTTTTTTTTTTTTTGAGACAGGGTCTTGCTCTGTCACCCAGGCTGGAGTGCAGTGGCATGCATATGGCTCACTGCAGCCTCGACCTCCTGGGCTCAAGCACTCCTCCTGCCCCAGCCTCCAAGTAGCTGGAACAACAAGTGCACAGTGCACACCACCACACCTGACTAATTTTTAAAATTTTTTTGTAGAGATAAAGTCTCACTATGTTGCCCAGGCTGGTTTCAAACTCCTGGGTTCAAGCAATGCTCCCTCCTTGGCCTCCCAAAAATGCTGGGATTATAGGTGTGAGCTACCATGCCCAGCCTTTTTATACATTTTGAAGTAAATTACAGACACCATTAAACTCCCTGCTTTGGCATGCACATCATTAACTAGAGCTCGATGTTTGTTCTGTTTTTTTTTTTTTTTCTTTTGGGGCAACATTTATACATAAGCAAATACCCAAAGTTTACCTGTACATTGGCTGAGTTTTGACAAATGCATACGCCTGTGTAACTGAAATCCTTATTACTTAGTTTTATTTTAATCATTGCCCATTCCCTCTTTCTCTTGAAGGGTTCTCTTGGGACCCAAGGCTTCCAGTCTTAGATCTGTTAGGGCTGCCTTTTCTAGATGGTACCCAGGATTTCCTGCTTATTTCTCGCCACTCTCAGTAATCAAAATGTACCTATCCATGTGACCTGCCTTAAGGAGTTTTTGAGCCAATGGTTTTGTTAATCTCTGCTAAACTAATTCTGCCAAGGTTTATTGGCTTATATAAAATACTGTGATTTTCTGTTATTTGCGTGGTACATTTTGCATTAAAGGATGTTAACAAGACAAAATAATGCTTTTACCCACATCAGGGCCCTCCAATGGCAGGAATTTCTGGCACAGTGGGAGTCAAGGGAGAAATCTCTGGAGTAAGGTTGAGGACTTTGTCCCATTTTCTTTAAATCCTCCAAGGAGTGAGAGTGGCTACCTAGTTGTTCCCCCATGGCTCAAGGCAGACTCTGACCGTGAGGAAGGCTCATTCCCAAGGGTTGCTATCCAGGGAAGTTGCTAAGGATTCTTCTAGTGACTTTAGCAGAATCTAGGGCCATTGCATTTTCTTTCTCCATGCCTCTGAAGCCCAGGTGTGAGGGTGCTGGGCTCACAGCTGTGCCTCAACTTGCAGCTAGGTTGTCAGGGCACTGGGCTCTGTTTTGCAGCTTCCCGGACCAGGAGGTGCGTCGTATGGCTGTGCAGTGGATTGGCTCACTCTCAGATGCTGAGCTGCTAGACTACCTGCCCCAGCTGGTACAGGTGGGTGGATTGGTCCTCCCTCCAGTTTTGCTGGTCCCATCCCCAGTATCCCAAGTGAGTCTGCATTCTGCCCCTTAGAAACCAGAGATCCCAGTGCAATAATAATAAGTGTAGGTTACAGGCAGTTAATGAAGCTTCATATTCTCTTTCTCCCTTTCTCCGAAACAGGCCCTGAAGTATGAATGCTACCTGGACAGCCCGTTGGTGCGCTTCCTCCTGAAACGAGCTGTGTCTGACTTGAGAGTGACTCACTACTTCTTCTGGTAAAACTGCATGTAGAAAAGTGGGAGGTAGACACGTGTCTTTCACGTAGGAGTATTTCACTCTTAGGCACGCAAGGGCAAGGAACTGAGTTGTCCGGGCTTCAGTATGTGCTGACTTACCCTGTGGCCTTGGACCAGCATCTTTTCCTCAGGGGTCTCAGCTCACCCCATGTAACATAGTGAGGATTATGTTATCCTGTCTCTCCTCTACCCACACATGGCAGAAATAGAAAGGAGAAACAAGATGCAGAGGGGCTGTGAACTCTACTTAAAGACAGAGTGAGGGCACAGACTGGGGTATGGGCACAGGTGAGCATCTCCATATGAGCCGTACATACAGAATGTATTTTCCCTCCCAAGTTCGGGGTGGGTTTTGCAGTGAGTTGGAGCTGGGCCTGACTCTGTCTCCCCCTGTACCCTTGCCTTTGATCCCTGGAGTGCCCTGACTCCTGACTCCCTCTGCCTTGCAGGTTACTGAAGGACGGCCTCAAGGACTCTCAGTTCAGCATCCGCTACCAGTATCTGCTGGCAGCCTTACTGTGCTGCTGTGGCAAGGGGCTGAGAGAAGAGTTTAACCGCCAGTGCTGGCTTGTCAATGCCCTGGCCAAACTGGCCCAGCAGGTCCGGGAGGCAGCCCCATCTGCAAGGCAGGTTAGTGGGGTGAGGCTGCCCCTACCCATTTCTCATCCAGGGCTTTGGCAGCCAGTTTCTTCTTAGGAATCCTGAACAACAAGATTCCACGTGACGATTTTTGATTTTGGAGCGGGGAGCAGCTGACTCTGGAAACTAGGCCGTAAACAGGCAGTCCACAAGCTGGATACAGCCCGTGGATGTGTTTTGTTTGTCCTGTAAAATATTGAAATTTATTTAGCTGTTTGTTTTAAAGGCTAAGCACAGTTGTGTAAGTTGTTCATTGCACAAGAGCACTCAGCCAGAAGGGGCAAGTGAGGGCTGAAATCCAGCCATATTTTGTTCACCATGCTGTGACCCATGGCTCAGGCCTGATGCCACCCAGAGAGGACACCTTTATCTGTTTGTACGAAGACATTGTAACCAGCCAGCAGTGTTCCTGGTTAACGACATTTAAAAATTGAGAGATTTTGTATCAACGTCCAGATTGTTAGCTTTTCTTGGCAGAAGCCTAAATAGCTCTTCCCCCTTGAGAGACAGCCTGCCCTCTCTGTGCACTGTGGCCTGCTTCATGCTGTTCTGCCATCTGCTCCCCTCTAGAGCTATTTGGTCTTGCTGTTAGCGTACAGTCCCAGGCTGGGGTGTAGGGGGTCCTCCTCCTTAAGGATCTTCTGGAGGGTGTCCACACTTCTCAGGGGGTGGTTTTCATACCGACTACTACGGAGAACCCACCCCTGGGAGAGGTCTGGTTCTCAGTATGGACCCTCCATTTCACCCCTGCTGTACTCCTCCCCTTCTTTCCAGGGAATCCTCCGCACGGGCCTGGAGGAGGTGAAGCAGTTCTTTGCCCTCAATGGCTCGTGCCGCTTGCCACTCAGCCCCAGTCTGCTGGTTAAGGGAATTGTGCCCAGGGTGAGTGACTGGTAGGTTTGGGGCTCTCAGAGTGGGAGGGCTCAGTGGAGGTGAGGTCTTCACTAACCAGGCATGCAAGGTCGAGGAGCTGAGTTGTCTGGGCGTCAGTATGTTGCTAACTTACCATGTGGTCTTGGCCTAGCATCTTTTCCTCAGGGGTCTCAGCTCACCCCCATGCAACATGGTGAGGATTATGTTATCCTGTCTCTCCTCTACCCACACATGGCAGAAATAGAAAGGAGAAACGAGGCAGAGGGGCTGTGAACTCTGCTTAAAGACAGAATGAGGGCACAGACGGGGGTATGGGCACAGGTGAGCATCTCCATATAAGCCATAAAATAAGAGAGAGATTAGGAAGAAAGGCATATCTGTGGCCTCTTCCCATTCCTAATGTGTATGGACTTTTAGAAGCCTGACAGCTTGCAGGGTAGAGGAATTGGGTTGGAGGTTGGGCGGCTAGGCAGGTGTCTTTCTCTGATGATGTTGGGGATGAAGTCGGAGGTGGTGGTGGTGATAGCAGCTGTCATCTGTCATTTATTGAGCACTCTCTGTGCCCGGCCCTGTTCTGAGTGCTTAATGTTGGTTATGGCATTTCATCTTCACAACTCTTAGGATGTTGGTACTATTGGGAGTCCCCTTTTACAGAGGAGTAAACTGAGGTGTAGATGGGACATGTGACTTACCAGAGGTCACACAACTAGTAAGTTGTGCGCAGAATGAACTAACAGGATGGGAGGTTAAGTGCTGGAGCTGAGGTCATAACAAACTGAATTGGGATGATGACTATTTAACAAGAGAAGGAAGGAAATTGGGTTTCTGGGAAATCCGGAAGAAACAATGAGCAGGTCTTGGGTGGACCGGCAGCAGCGGGGAGGCAGCATCTTGGTCTGAAGTGGAGAGGTCGTTTTCCTTTCCTGGCATGGGCCACTCTGACCCTCGTCACTATCTTTTCACCATGGCAGGACTGTTCCTACTTCAACTCCAATGCTGTCCCCCTCAAACTCTCCTTCCAAAATGTGGATCCCCTGGGTGAGAACATCCGTGTCATCTTCAAGGTGAGAATACTTTACTCAAGCCTGGTGGACCAGGGTGGGAGAGAGAAGGAGGCAGCCTAGAGTGGCATTAAGTAGCCCCTGGGTGGTTCTCTTCCCACTGTTCCATGCTGTCTTAATGTAGGAAAGATGATCAGGTGAAAAAGGATTTAGATGAATTCTGCATGGCCCCAGAGGCCTAACAACAGAGTGTTAGGTATAGGGAGGCAACTGGCAGCTCAGTATCCCGAAGTGCTTTCTAGGAGGCAGAGCTCCCTCAACAATGGGTTGGGTAAGGTGGTGATCCGCTTGTCCCTTGGGTATTCAGGCAGAGGCTGAATGCCATGTGGCAGGGCTGCTGAAGAGGAAATTAATATATCAGGTGCAGGTCCAACTAGATGAACCCTAAGGTCCCTTCTAACTCTGATGTATCCACAATTCTGAGAAGTAAATGATAGTCTCAGAGCATATAATCTAATGGGGGAGACAAAATACATGCATGTGACTTAGTAACTTATATATTTGCTATGCGCAAGTTCCAAATCCAAAGTCTAAACGTTCAAGTTTAAAAAAGGCCTGATGGCCTGGGTGTGGTGCCTCATGCCTATAATCCCAGCACTTTGGGAGGCTGAGGCATGCAGATCATTTGAGGTCAGGAGTTTGAGACCAGCCTGGCCAAGATGGTGAGACCCCATCTCTACTAAAAATATATATATATATATATATATAAATTAGCTGGGCGTGGTGGCAGGCACCTGTAATTCCAGCTACTTGGGAGGCTGAGGCATGAGAATCACTTGAACCTGGGAGGCGGAGGTTGCGGTGAGCTGAGATCGTGCCACTGCACTCCAGCCTGGGTGACAAAGTGAGACACTGTCTCAAAAAAAAAAAAAAAAAGGCCTGATGGTCAGAGGGGCTGCATGCAGAAGCAGACCGTGAATTTAATTCAGATGGGGCCATGGGATTGCAGGACAAGCTGGAACAACACATGGGCAAACTGGGAAGCTTCCTGGGCCATCTTTGACCTGGTGTGAGCTGAGTGAGCAGGTCAGGGGTGTGAGGCTGGGGAACTCCCTGTCACTGTTAGTTTAGGGCCAAGGTTGAGCACTTGGGAGACCTGAGAGCTGGGGAGGTAGTGGAGATTAGATCTGGTCACTTTCTCCCTCCATCCAGTGTGGGGACGACCTTCGCCAGGACATGCTAACGCTGCAGATGATTCGCATCATGAGCAAGATCTGGGTCCAGGAGGGGCTGGACATGCGCATGGTCATCTTCCGCTGCTTCTCCACCGGCCGGGGCAGAGGTCAGTTGGGAGTAGGGGTGAGGGTGGAGGAGGGGACCGCTTTGCTTATTGTCCTTCTGCCCATTGCCAACACAAACTGTGTCCTCCTCCAGGAAAGTGAAAAGGGCAAGATTATTTCATGAGAAGCTGTGGGATAGCCTTAAAAGGGAGGCATGGGAGAAGACTGTTATAAAGTAAAACAGACTTGGTGCCGTGACAGCCAAGCATATTGTGTAGACTTTGGATCCTGATTAAAACAAACCAATTGTAAGGAAATATTTTTTGGGCCAGACATGCTAGCTCATGCCTGTAATCCCAGCACTTTGTGAAGCTGAGATGGGAGAATTGCTTGAGCTCAGGAATGTTTGGGACCAACCTAGACACCTCATCTCTAATAAAAATTATAAAAAATTAGCCAGGCCTAATGGCATGTGCCTGCAGTCCCACCTCCTCGGGAGGCTGAGGCAGATGGATCGCTTGAGTCCAGGAATTTGAGGCTGCAGTAAGCCATGATGGTGCCACTGTACTTCAGACCAGGCGACAGAATGAGACCCTGTGTGAAAATATATATATAGAGAGAGAGAGAGAAGGAGAGAGACAGTTGGGGGAAGTTTGAATATAGATTGAGTTAGATTAAAGAGTGATTGTTAATTTTTTGGATGTGACAATGGCATGGTGTCTTTGTTAATTACACTTGAAATATTTATGAGTGAAATAAAGTATCTGGGATTTGCTTTAAAATACTCCAACCAAGGTGGCAGGGAGTGGAGAAATAGGGTTGTGTGATTAGCAAACAAGATTAGCAAAATGTTGACAATTTTTGAAGCTGGGTGATAGTTACATGTGAAGTCATGATACCATTCTTTTTATTCTTATATATATTTTCAAATTCCCATAGTAAAAGCTAAAAACAAAGGGAGCAGCAGCTATGAACTGGAGAGACCAAAAAGTCACAGTATGGAATAGGAAATGTGGGAATGACCTTCCTTTCTATGGTTATTCTCTTCCTGTTATTATCAGACTTAGTCCAAATGCCTTACAGCTTAATTTATAGGGAAGCATGAGCACAGTCCTTGTAGTCCTCTCCCTGCAGTCCCCTTCATTCTGGTCTGGAACGTGACCCCCATTTCTCCCCTCACAGGGATGGTGGAGATGATCCCTAATGCTGAGACCCTGCGTAAGATCCAGGTGGAGCATGGGGTGACCGGCTCGTTCAAGGACCGGCCCCTGGCAGACTGGCTGCAGAAACACAACCCTGGGGAGGACGAGTATGAGAAGGTAGGGTTGTGGGTGGGGAGTGCGTCTGGTGTGTGTGTGTGCCTGATGCCGGCACACAGCTCTTTAACCACAAGACCTGCACTTGCTCAGAGAGGACAGCTCAGCTTTGTTGGCAGAAGGACCTACCCTTTCTTGGTTGACTGGTGCCTCCAAATATCTGGGGGTGACTCACTCAAATGCCTCTTGTAAGCTGGCTGAGAAAATCCCCTGATGCTGGACTGAGAAACTTTCACTGAGTTCTCCTGGCAGATTAAGTCTTGGAGGAGGCGCCAGCTTTTGAGAGCCTATCTGTATCCCTCCCAGTTGTGGATCCTCTTCAGGTTCCCTTATGTTCTCAGAGGGTTCAGTGGTACTTTCTAGAAAAAGAGTTGGTTGGAAGAGACTTTAGAGATCATTTTATGCCAGCCCCTTCTTTTCATAGCTGTGAATTAAGATTCACTCATTCATTCCTAGTTATGGAGCTGATATGTGGCAAGGCTGTAACTCAAAGCTAGGATTGAGGTTAGATATGAGACAGAGACGAGTGAAAACAGGGCTGGCTGGTTCCTGATGAAAGAAGATTAGATTAGAAGTGGAGCTTTCCTGGGTGGTAGGGCCCTGGTAGCCTGCTAGGGTCCGTGGCCTGTTCCCAGCATCACAACTCTAGTCTCTGGGTTAATTAGGTTGAGGAAAGTAGGGACACTGGGAAGGAACAAATCACAATAACCAAACTCACAAGAGACTGGCTATAGGCCAGAATGCTAATTCGTATAATTTTAACTTCAAGGGACCCAAATACTGATTTATATTGATCAATGTACTTTATCCTGGAGGGAAAACCAGCATGGGCAGCCAAGGTATAATCAGAACATTGTTTAGTGAATGTGTAATTAGATGATCTTAAATGGCTTTCAGTGTTTGTGTTCCCCGGGGCTTAATTCCTGGCCTGCTGGGCCCTCTTTGCACTCTTCTTGTGCCAGCTCATCCTCTTATTACTTCAACTACCACCTGTATCTTGATGACCTCCGAAGCCATTCCTCTAGCCCTCTTCCCTTCCTCCAGGTGGTTCTATAGCCACCTTCTTGCTGGACTTTTCCACCTACGTTTCACCCACGTCTCAAACTCGGTGTAGGCAAAACTGAGCCTGCTGTCTCTCCTTTGCCTCTTGAAACCTGCTTTTTGTGTTTGCTATCAGTCAATGGTGTGACTCTTTCTGTGCATTTACCCAAGCCAAAGCCACGGTCTTCCTGATGCTTCCCTCTATCTCACTTCTGTACCATGCTCTGTTTATTCTTCTTCCCAGCTATCTCTCAAATCTGTCCTCTTCTTCCTATTTTGTTACCATTGATTTTGTTCAGCTCTTTGCTGTCGGTCCCCTGAACCACTGGAATGCCTCTCCTCCATCTAGAGCCAGCCTCTGCTTGATTTCAGAGGTGTTTTGTTGTTGTTGTTGTTGTTTTGAGACAGAGTTTTGCTCTTGTTGCCCAGGCCGGAGTGCAATGGCACGAGCTTGGCTCACTGCAACCTCCACCTCCTGGATTCAAGCGATTCTCCTGCCTCAGCCTCCCAAGTAGCTGGGATTATAGGCGTGCACCACCATGCCCAGCGAATTTTCATATTTTTAGTAGAGAAGGGGTTTCACCATGTTGGCCAGGCTGGTCGCGAACTCCTGACCTCAGGTGATCCACCCACCTCAGCCTCCCATAGTGCTGGGATTACAGGCATGAGCCACAGTGCCCAGCTGTTGTTTTTTTTTTTAAGTGTGGATAAGTTCTTCAAAGCCTCTGTGTATCCTAACAGATAGCATTGCACACAGAGCCTTTTATAATCCAGCCCTGCTGACTCCTGTAATCCCATCCACTGCAACCTACCATCTTATGCTAACCTATGCTCCAGCTAGGTTACTAGCTAGATCATGCGGTGGGGGCAGGGGGGGCTACTACTTTCATTTCTGCAGTACTGTAGGCAGTAATATTTCCTTTGCCTGGAAAGTCATTTCTTCCCTTCTCATTCCTCAAAACTCTGCCACTCTATGCTATACATTTCAAGGCCCTCTACCCTTGGAGAGGAGTAATGATTTTTTTCCTTTCTACTACCAACCTCCCATATACTTACTCTTTATGCTAATATGCATTTTTCAGGTATTAAACACCCATATGCAGAGGCACTGTACTAGGTGCTGGAGTTGTGATTACTCCCTGCCAATGTAATAGTCATATATGTGTAAATGTATGGAAATAATACTAAATAATAATAAATGTACAGATGAATGTATAAGAATATAATAAAAATAAATGTACAGAAGAATGTACGAGAATACACACAGAGAGAAACTAACTCTGCATGTTCATGTTTAATCTCAGTCTTTCAAAGATAGCTTCTCTGCCCTTCTAGCCTTTCTCCAAGAATAATGCTGGTAGTTTCTTTTTTTTTGAGGCAGGGTCTCACTCTGTCACCCAGGCTGGAATACAGTGGCACAATCACTGCAACCTCCACCTCCTGGGTTCATGTGATCCTCCTGACTCAGCCTTCCAAGTAGCTGGGACTACAGGCATGTGCCACCATGCCCAGCTAATTTTTCTATTTTTCGTGGAGATGGGGTTTTGCCATGTTGCCCAGGCTGGACTTGAACCCCTGGGTTCAAGAGATTCACCCACCTCAGCCTCCCAAAGTGCTGGGATTACAGGCATGAGCCACCACCCCCAGCAATGCTGGTAGTTTCATTTGATGACTTCCAGAAGAAAGAAACTAGAGGTATTTTCTCTTGGCCACCTACTCAGCAAGAGAGTATCCCACACCCTACACATGAAACCCCTGAAATCAGAGGCAGAGTGTCCCTTTATAGAGTGAGACTTCTTGCCAGTAAGTGGCTAACACCCTGCATAACTTAGGGAGGTGAAAAGAGTTTAGTCATTTACCCACAGGCACACAGCTATTTTCTCAGCCAAAATAGGATTCATTTAAGGTAGAAAGAGCATCTGTGACAGGGAGAGGATTTGATAGAGATCCAGGTCACGACTGGGAGTTACGCGTTATGCTCCTTATTAAGTGCTTTTATTCATTTATTTTACTTTCTAAGAAATAGTCTTTTTCTTCCAGAAGATGAATGCTGTGATTTCTTTATAACCTTTCCATTCTTAGTTTCTGGTGGATCCATCATCAGGTTGTAATTCGACAAGTAGCTGGGTGGGTGCATTCTGTGTGGAGCTAGTTTTGCAATAGGCATTGTGAAATAGGCAAGAAGCTGTTAGGAGAACAGATCTGTAAACCCCATGGGACTGAAAGGGCAAAGTCAGTGCTGTATGAATGGAGGTGACAGTGCATCTGTAGGGGTTCAGAGGAGGAGAAGTCAGTATGAGCTTGGAAGGTCTGGAAAGTTATGGGACTCAAGGTCATTGAAGGATGATGGGTGGAAATTTATGGAAGGAGGCAAGGAGGGCGGGCATTCCATATCTAGTAAGCTTTCCCTCATTCCTAATTTCATGCATTCCTACCTGGCTATGACGATCATTGCTCTCTGCTGATGTCTTTCCTGAGTTCTTAGGAATTCTATAAACCTCACGAAGAGGATTTTGAAGGCAGGAGTGGTCTATTTCCTCATTCCATGTAGTTTTTCTTTCTGGAAAGACAGATAAGGGGATGGATGTTGACCAGACAAAATAAGATGGAGTCAACCCCTCACCACTCCTCTCCTGCTTTAAACTCAGAAATATCTCTAACATATTTTACCAACTAAAGATGTCCCATTTTCAAGTGTAAAACACTCTCTAGACGTGTTAAGCTGCCTCAGCTCTTCTTTGGAGTGCAGTGACTTTAATTAGATTAGCATTTAGCTGTTACCAAGAACTCTGGAAATGGGAATTTTATTTGGGGCAGGAAGAAGGATGATAGAATTCTGAGCAGGGTCAGGAAGAGATTCTTAAGTTGGCTTCCTCAGTGGCTGTACTTAAGATCATCACGGCCAGTTGGGGAAGTTGTAAATGTCAGTCTTCCCATCTCTTAAGGTCCCCTCAGTCTGGGCTGATCAAGACTGGGCTCTTGGATCAGTCCACTGTCTTTCCAACCGATCTCCCTAGGAGAAAGAAAGGAGAAGATGGTATTCAGATGAAGTGGTGAAGATATACATATAAATCTCCATCTTTTCCATAAGACATGGGAGATGTTTCTGTGTGTGTAAGTGTGTAAGTTAGTACATGATGAAGGATGAACAGGCAGATGTGAGACACTATTGGGGTTCACAGAAGAGAGAGAGGCCAGGGCTGGCTGAGTTCTGTCTGGCTGTGGCCCCTGGAGTCCTTCCAAGCCAGCTTTATGTCCTCTCCTCCCATCTGCCTTGACCCCTCCCAGGCTGTGGAGAACTTTATCTACTCCTGCGCTGGCTGCTGCGTGGCCACGTACGTCTTGGGCATCTGTGACCGACATAATGACAACATCATGCTGAAGACCACTGGTCACATGTTCCACATTGATTTTGGCCGCTTCCTGGGCCATGCCCAGATGTTTGGCAACATCAAGCGGTAAGTGATCTCCTGAAGCCAGATTGTGAGTGAAGGGCAAGGAGGTGAGCAACAGTGGTTCAGAGCTGGGACACAAGCCCATGATGGAAGCAGCTGGGCCTCAGATCATGGTCCCAGGGCTGAGCAGCATTGGAGGAGAGAAGACGGATAAAGAGGTCAAGTCCTTGCAGGGCCTTGCAGAAGAATGCGGGGACCAGCTGTTCTTCCCTACCAAGGACTGAACAAAGGGAAATGAACCAAACTGTAGCAAAAAGGAATGCAATCAGATATCCAGAAAAAAATATTGCCAGCTCACAGATAAGGAACCAATGAAGGATATAGAGATCTTTTAAGATTAAGGTAGGAAAGGAACAAAGAAAAAAGTTAGAGCCCCTTCTATCCAGTGTGTCCACGTGATGAGGGATGAGGGAAACTGACCCCTGATGCAGCCCATATGGTGGGCTTCCTCCTCCATGTTGACCTTCTACCTGTATGTTCCCCTTGGCTCAGGGACCGTGCCCCCTTTGTCTTCACCTCGGACATGGCGTATGTCATCAACGGGGGTGACAAGCCTTCCAGCCGCTTCCATGATTTTGTTGACCTTTGCTGCCAAGCCTACAACCTCATTCGCAAGCACACCCACCTCTTCCTCAACCTTCTGGGCCTGGTGAGGAGCTCCATCCCTTTCCGAATACCTTCTTCTTATTATCTGGCATCATCTTTAAGACTTCCCTGTCTTGCCGCAGAGGATTTCTAGAGATTTACCTCTCTGAGCCCCAACTGAATACCTGCCTGCCCTAGATAAAGGCAGGGACCCAGACTACCTGAGGACAATGATGTCTGTGTAGGTGCCTGACTCCCTGCTCCAGCCCTTCAGTTCCTGTGGCCCTCCAGCCACTGCCCACAGCATCTGTCTACCACCCTCTAGAAGGGTTAGGGAGCCTAGCTGTAGAAAACCTTGCCTAAGGGTAGAGAAGCAGCAAGAATTCTCTGTTGTTACAGGCACCCTCTCTTCTTCTTTCTGCTCCTTCTAGATGTTGTCCTGTGGGATCCCTGAACTCTCAGACCTGGAGGACCTCAAGTATGTGTACGATGCCCTGAGGCCTCAGGATACAGAGGCCAATGCCACTACCTACTTCACTAGGTAAAATGATTCCCTGAGCGAATCAGCACTGCCCACCCTGAGTAATTCCCAGCCTGCCGGATTGGCAGGAGGAGGACTGGGGAAAGGTGAAAAGCTTAGCTCAGATGCTAGAGCCTAGAGCTGACCACGTGGATACATTGTCCCAACTTTGCCCGTGATTTAGGTAAATCATTTTGCTTCTCTCAGCCTTGGTTTCCCATCTGTGTTTTGGTGCTAACCTTTGCACACAAGGGTATTGCCATCACTCTTATCTACATTCTCACTAGGTCCCATCAAATACTTTGTCTATGGGGCAATGTATAATGTGGCTTTTGTAATAACTTTTAACTTTCTTGGTCAGACGCTTCCCCCTTGCCAGAACATGGAGTTCCATGATTCAGTCTCCTCATATTTGACAATGTTTTTAGGTACACTGTGTGTGAAAGCAAGGATGTGTTTATCTATGAATGCCTGCAAAATGTGGTCCCTGTAGATAATGTTCTCCACTCTTTTTGGAATTCAGAGAATTAAACTTTCTCTGTTAGGTCTCCTAACACAGGACCTCTCCCGCTGAATTGAAATCTGAGATTGAACAGTGCTTGGTGAGGTTCTATTGTAATGAACCTTGAAATTTTTTGATATTTAGACATTTACACAGAGAGAGTGAGTTCCTAGTTCCTTTCTACCTTGGTTTGATGGTTTTTGGCTCAGGTGGGCAGCCAGGGGAGGAGATAAGACCCTGGGGTTCACATGAGCAAATTGCATGAGATTATTGTGTGCCAGTCATTTGCTTTATGAGGATATGACACAGGAAAATGGTTTGATCTGAGCTGATTGTTAGTCTCAGGAGTCAGGAATATTCCTTGGAACACCCCTGTCGAGGCAGCAGGAATTTGGGTTCATGGTTATATCCTCTTTTCTTATCCTCCTGCCAGGTTGATTGAGTCCAGCCTGGGCAGTGTAGCCACAAAGCTCAATTTTTTCATCCATAATCTGGCTCAGATGAAGTTCACGGGCTCAGATGACCGGCTGACCCTCTCCTTTGCCTCCCGAACACACACTCTCAAGAGCTCTGGCCGAATCAGTGATGTTTTCCTCTGCCGCCATGAGAAGATCTTCCACCCCAACAAAGGCTATGTAAGTGTTTTCTCCAATCTGACCCCCTTTCCTGCTCTCTGCTGACCCTGGCTTGCTGGGATCCTGACTTTTTCCACACTTGCACAGTGGGCACAGGAGTTGACCGAGCGTCCTGTGCTGGGAGCAGTCCTGGACCACTTCCCTCTCCTTTGCTCACGTGATCTGCCTAGAATTGGGTAGCTGAATTGGATGGTTATTCCCTCTGAGTCAAGGATCCTGGCAACATATGTGGGAAGTCTGCTTTTAGATTCCTGTGTATGTGCTATCATCTGTCTCCACTCTTGCTCTCTTCCTTCTGGAATGTGCCCCTCCCCTCAGCACATACATACACTTCCGGACCTTTCCTACACCCTTCACTGGGTGCAGAGGGCTCGGCAGGTACACCCTAAGATCTGGACCTTTGCAGATATATGTGGTAAAGGTGATGCGAGAGAACACTCACGAGGCCACCTACATCCAGCGGACCTTTGAGGAGTTCCAGGAATTACACAATAAGTTGCGGCTGCTCTTCCCTTCTTCCCACTTGCCCAGGTAGCTGCCCCCTTTACTATCTGCACAGAGGGATGTCGGGGAGGGGGAAAGGATACGGGATGGGAGGTGGTCAGGGCTGCAGGGGCAGAAAATACCCTTTTGGACTAAACATCTGCCTGCTTTGCTTGGCCTGGTATGGAGTTTGATGACAAGTGCTCCCCCTGCTGGCCAAGCTCTCCTTGCACGCAAGAGCTCTCACTCCAGGCCCACTGGCCAGAAAGGAAGGCATGGTTGAATCTGATGTTTCAAAATTTCTAATTTTTTAAAGAGTTACACCATTTTTCAAATGGATAAGCAAAATGTCATATGTACATACAGTGGGATATTATTCAGCATTTAAAATGGAGGGAGATTTCGACACGGGTAACAACGTGGATGGACCTTGAGGACATTCTGCTAAGTGAAATAAGCCAGTCACAAAAAAACAAAAACGGCACGATTCCACTTATCTGAGTTACCTGGAGTAGTCAGACTCCTAGAGGCAGAAAGTAGAAAGCTAGTTGCCCAGGTCTGAGGGGAGGTAGGTGTGGTTGTTTAATGGGTACAGAGCTTCAGTTTTGCAAGATGAAAAGAGCTATGAAGTTGGATAGTGGCGATGGTTGCATGACAGTGTGAATATGGTTAATTCCACAGAACTGTACACTTAAAAATGGTTAAGATGGCAAATTTTATGTTACACATATTTTACTGCAATTTTTTTAAAAACTACTTTTCAGGCCGGGCGCAGTGGTTCACGCCTGTAATCCCAGCACTTTGGGAGGCCTAGGTGGGCAGATTGCCTGAGGTCAGGAGTTCGAGAGCAGCCTGGCCAACATGGTGAAACCCCATCTCTACTAAAAATACAAAAATTAGTGTGGTGGCATGCTTTTATAATCCCAGCTACTCAGGAGGCTGAGGCAGGAGAATCGCTTGAACCCGGGAGGCAGAGGTTGCAGTGAGCTGAGATCACGTGACTGCGCTCCAGCCTGGGCGGCAAAGCGAGACTCAGTCTCAAAACAAACAAACAACTTTTTAAATGAATTTTTTGGCCGGGTGCGGTGGCTCATGCCTGTAATCCCAGCACTTTGGCAGGCTGAGGCAGGCAGATCATGAGCTAAGGAGTTTGAGACCAGCCTGGCCAACATGGTGAAACCCCCCTCTACTAAAAATACAAAAATTAGCTGGGTGCGGTGGTGTGTGCCTGTAATCCCAGCTACTGGGGAGGCTGAGGCAGGAGAATCGCTTGAACCCGGGTGGTGGAGGTTGCAGTGAGCCGAGATTGCGCCACTGTACTCCCGCCTGGGTGACAGAGCGAGACTCCATCTCAAAAAAAAAAAAAGGATTTTTACATCGATGGGAGAAACTGAGGGCTCCCGAGCCATTTCTGGGGAGCCACAGGACTCTGGCCTGCTGTTTGGTTTTCTTGTCTGGGGCCCTTGGAAATGTAGTCATGAGATGCTGAGCAGGTGTCAGACCTGGGCACAGATGTGCAGCACAGGAGGAATTGTGAGGGTCCCTAGAAATGGAGGCTGCTGGGAAATGGGTGCTAGGGGACTGGAAACGCAAATGAAATGTGAAAAAAGCCCATTGTGTCCATTTTCTTTCCCCATCTTCACCTCCTGCATCCCCGCTGCCTACGCTGCCACGCCAGCTTCCCTAGTCGCTTCGTGATCGGCCGCTCCCGGGGAGAGGCGGTGGCCGAGCGGCGGAGGGAGGAGCTAAACGGTTACATCTGGCACTTGATCCACGCACCCCCTGAGGTGGCCGAGGTGGGTGGGCTTGCCTCTCCTCCTGGCTGTCCAGGCTGGTGGGGATGGTTGGGGAGGCAGAGGTGGAAGCATCCGGAGGCACTAGGAGTCAGGAACAGGACTTGGCACTTCGGGGTCTGTGGGCTGAATGACCAATGCTCCAGTCTGCAGAAGACAGGAGGAGGGTGGGTCCAGCCTCACAGGGTTATACACAGAAATGCAATTAAACAGAAAGGTGAATGCATCGAGGCACATGGGCTGAGAATGATGAGAATGAGCGGAGCCTCAGAAAGGAAGGCTCCTCTTTGAGGAAAAAGTTTTTTGAGCAGGTTGAGTATGTATTATCAACCTAGATTTTTTTTTAAACAAATAGTAGTATAATGGCCCTAACAAAGTCATGAGGAATCCTATTATTAAATACTTTAACAAATCATCTGCCCCTATTGTCCATGTTCCCTTCCTATTTGTCCATATGCAAGCATGATTTTTACAGTTTTATAGTGGTTATAGCTTAAGTATAACTCTGGATTCTGAGCTTTTTTCCCTTAGCATTTATAGTATACATATGCTATAACTTTAAATATCTGTTCCTTCAGACACCAACTTGCAGTACCATAATCTTAACCATTTTATTTTTGAAA
The DNA here is from genome assembly GCF_000001405.40 of Homo sapiens. NCBI lineage: Eukaryota > Metazoa > Chordata > Mammalia > Primates > Hominidae > Homo > Homo sapiens. Next base: position 204,429,300 of record NC_000001.11, on the reverse strand, counting down.
GATATTTAGAGTATGTGTTTTTTTTCCCCATTAATGTTCAAGTGAGTATTTTCACACAGTTTGTTTGTTTTTTGAGACAGGATCTTGCCCTGTCATTCAGTCTGGAGTGCAGTGGCACAATCACAGCTCACTGCAGCCTCCACTTCCCAGGCTCAAGCGATCCTCCCACCTCAGTCTCCTGAGTAGCTGGGACTGTAGGCATGGGCCACCACACCCGGCTAATTTTTGTATTTTTTTTTTTGTAAAGACAGGGTTTTACTATGTCACCAGGCTGGTCTCAGACTCCTGAGCTCAAGCGATCCTCTGGCCTCAGCCTCCCAAAGTGCTGGAATTATAGGCATGAACCACTGCGCTCGGCCTGTTTTTTCTTTTTAAACTTTTTAGGGTTAAAACTTTCAAGCATGCAGAAAAGTAGAGAAACAATATAATTAGCACCTATATATCCATCACCTAAACACTTAACATTTTGCTATATTTGCTTCTTCTATTTTTTATGAAGTATTTTAAAATAAATAACATGCCAGGTGCAGTGGCTCATGCCTGTAATCTTAGCACTTTGGGAGGCCGAGGCAGGTGGATCACCTGAGGTTAGGAATTTGAGACCAGCCTGGCCAACATGTCTCTACCAAAAATACAAAAATTAGCTGGGCGTGGTGGCGCAGGCCTGTAATCTCATCTACTTGGGAGCCTGAGGTTGCAGTGAGCTGAGATCGCCCCACTGCACTCCAGCCTAGGTGTCAGAGCGAGACTCCATCTCAAACAAACAAACAAAGTAAATTACAGACATCATAATACTGTACCCCCTAAATACTCACTATGCATCTCTAAACAATAAAGTCTTGTTTTTAAAGTAACTACAGTATTATTATATTATCCAGTCCATAGTCCATATTCAAAATTTCCCTATCATCCCCCAAATTCCTTTTACTGTTGGCTTGTTAGAGCTATAATCCACATAAGAACTGCATGTTGTTGGTTGTTATATTTCCTAAGTCTTTTTACATCTGGAACAGTCCCCTTCCTTTTTGTATTGGGCCATTGTCTTATTGAAGAATGGCCCTGTTTCTGATTCTGTTCCAGTGTGATTTGGTGTACACCTTCTTCCACCCACTGCCCCGGGATGAGAAGGCTATGGGCACCAGCCCAGCTCCTAAGTCCTCAGGTACAGTATCTTCTCTGAGACCTTACTGCCAACTCCTCTGAACTACCCCAAGGGTAACTGCTTCTGCCCCAACCTCTTCTCAGTTCTCTCTCCTTGACTTGCCTCCTGTTCCTTTTCTTACTCTCTGGGAAATCTAGTTTCCCACTCAGGCCGTGGGGTCCATAGTTCCTTACCTGGGTTCCCCACAGGGTGGATATTCAGTCGATTATATCCTTAGACCCATCCCAACCCAATTAACTCTAATCACATTCAGACTACACTTATGTAGATGCCTCATGAGTATCAGAAATCTGACATGGAGAGGCTGGGGCAAGGGGGTTCAGGAAGAAAACAGAAACACCTGCCTGGCCTCTTGACCCTTCATGGTTTCATTTGTCCCTACAGATGGCACATGGGCCCGGCCCGTCGGAAAGGTGGGAGGGGAGGTGAAGCTGTCCATCTCCTACAAAAACAATAAACTCTTCATCATGGTGATGCATATTCGGGGCTTGGTAAGTGCCTGCACAGCCGTGATTTTTTTTCTTTTTTAATGTTTCTTTAGCTACTTTTTTGGGCAGACCTTCTCTGCCGCGTGTCATATGGGTAACCACCACAGTCTACTGAGCATCCACCATGGACCTATAACCATAGCAAGCCTATGGTATGACTAGGCAATACATGAGACAGCTTTTTGTAGCTGTGGTCTTTGACAAGTAACCTAATCATTCTGAGCCTCATTAGAATGAGGAAAATGTTAGCACCTACCTCATAGAGTCATTATGGGGATTAAATGAGATAATGCTTGTGGAATACTTAACACCATGCCTGGTTTTATTAGAATAATGATTTTTATAGTAATTATAAGGGAGAGGCCCAAGGGGCTCATTACCTGGCTATAATGATTGAGCAGCCACGTGACATCCTTTGAATATGATCAAGGCAGTAGTAGATAATTACTAAATTTTTGGTACGAGTTCTAAGAACATTGTGACTAGAAGAGGAAGGGAACTTTTTTTTTTTTTTGAAATGGAGTTTTGCTCTGTCACCCAGGCTGGAGTGCAGTGGCGCAATCTTGGCTTACTGCAACCTCCGCCTCCTGGGTTCAAGCGATTTTCCTGCCTCAGCCTGAGTAGCTGGGACTACAGGCACATGCCACCACACCTGGCTAATTTTTGTATTTTTTAAAATTAGAGACCGGGTTTCACTATGTTGGCTAGACTGGTCTTGAATGCCTGACTTCAGGTGATCCGTCTGTCTCAGCCTCCCAAAGTGCTGGGATTATAGGTGTGAGCCACCACGCCCAGCCAGGAAGGGAACTTGAATACTTGCATTGTGCTGCATCCTATGTTAGGCATTTTATGTAGGTTGGGGCAGTGGGATATGGCAGGAGGAACATAAACATTCATCCATTTACTCTTCATTCAATAAATGTTTGAGTGCCTGCTATATACTGATACATTAGCTCTGGGTATGGGGGAAAACAAAACAAAATCCCTGCCCTCAGGGGGCTTACATTCTAGTTGGGAACGGCACACAGGCAGATAAGTAAAATATATGGCATAGAAGATGGTAGTAAGAGCTATGGCAAGAAATAAAGCAGAGAAGGAATGCTAGGATGGAATGAAGGGAGTGGACTTTGCAAAGAGTGCTCAGGGAAGGCCTCATTGTTGAGGAGGTGTCTTAGCAAGATGGAGAAGGTGAGGGAGGGAGCCATGTTTATGCATCTGAGGGCAGACTTTCCCAGGCAAAGGGAGCAGTTAGATCTGACAGCCCAGAGCCAGGAGCCTGCCAGGGGTGCGTCAGAAACAGCAAGGGGCCAGCGGCTGAAGCCGATGGAGCAAAGTCGAGAGGAGTGGATGATGAGGTTGGAGAGGGTATGATGGACCAGCACCTCACCCTGATAGTAAGAACCGTGGCTTTTTCCCTGAATGAGATGGGTTTTAAGCAGAGGCATGACATGATCTGACTTAGGTTTTAAAAGGATCAGGCTGGGTGAATCACTAGTTGGCTGCCCTTGAGCAAGCAGCTCAATCTCTGTGACTCATGTCTCTACCTCTTAGGGGTTAAGTGGACCAAATGACAAAATAGATAAGGATAGTAGATATGGCAGGAAGATACCTGGGAACATGATGGTTCACTCAAAACAGAGCACATTATGGGATGTCCTGAGGATTTGGATAAAAGTATAGACTTGATATCATAGGCAAACCAATTGATGTTTTAATAGGACACAATGTTATCATGGTAGATATTTTTATCAGAATAGAGTGAGCTTGGAAGCAGACAAATAAATTAGTTGTGCATTGCAAGATGCCAGATGGCAGATGAGAGTCTGGATCAGAGTGTGATCACAGGAATGGTGGTGAAGAGACAGATGTTAAAAATCTTAACATTTTTTTGGTTCTCATTCTATTGTAGCAACTGCTCCAGGATGGAAATGACCCTGACCCCTATGTGAAAATTTACCTCCTTCCTGACCCTCAGAAAACCACTAAGAGGAAAACCAAAGTGGCCCGGAAAACCTGCAATCCTACCTACAATGAGATGGTGGGTGGGGAAAATGGTGGGGTAGGGCAGGGGTTGGCAACCTGCGCCTGTTCTCCTAGATAAAGTCGTATTGAAGAACGTATTAAGATGTTGTATTAAGAACATGGCTGTACTTGCTGATTTAGGTGTTACCTGTAGCTGCTTTCATGTTGCAATGGCAGGATCGAGTAGTTGTAACATAGACCATATGGCTTATCAAGCCTAAAAATATTTACTATCTGTCCCTTTACATAAAAAGTTTGCCAGCCCTTTTGGGCTGGGATTTCATGGCTGGGGTCTGGCCCTATCCTGTGGGAAGGAGAAGCCTGCTGGTCCTGTGCTGAAAATGAGCAGTGGCCCCAATACAAAGCCCTCACCTGCTTGAACTCTGAGCAAAGAACAGAGTTCATTAATGCTTCCCTTGGAGTCTGTGTACCTTGTGTGCCTTCTGTATTACCTGGGACTCTGCAGGGTGAGTGCTAGCCTCAGCTGGATCAGCCCCCAACAGACTTTACCATCTCCCTCTCGGGTTCCCTCTGGATTCTTCTTGTTCCTTCTCTCACCACTTCCCTCACCCATCTCTATGTTTGCAGTTGGTATATGATGGGATCCCCAAGGGTGACCTGCAGCAGCGGGAGCTCCAGCTGAGCGTGCTGAGTGAGCAGGGATTCTGGGAGAACGTCCTCCTCGGTGAGGTGAACATCCGCCTGCGAGAGCTGGACCTGGCTCAGGAGAAGACCGGCTGGTTCGCCCTGGGATCTCGAAGTCATGGCACCTTGTGAGCCCAGCAGAGCCACCACCCAGCATCCCAGGCTGGTGGCAGGAGCTGGGGGAGAGGACTCTCCCCTGTGAGACTCCTCCTTGTGAAGGGCCAGGGCCCTGGGCAGGCCTCCAGCTCGGTCCAGGTGATTCTGGCCTCTGTGGTAGGAGGCAGGGAGAGTAAGACATGCTCTGCTGTCTCTTCCTCTGGAGACTGAACTTGGGTTGGTTGTGATGAGCAGCCCCTTGGAGGCTGTGAGGTTGCAGCAAAGTTTTAAGTTTACCTTGTGTCAAGGGAGCAATGCTTGGTTTGGGGAGTGTGTGGGGTGGGCTGTATGAAGTAGCATTTTGGGGGTGGGTGGGTGGATATCTTAATTTTTATTTTTAAAAAATGAAATAGTGATGTTGTCCTAACTGGGACAGGAAGCCTTGCGAGAAGGGACGTACCTATGCCCCAGAAGGCAAGAGAGGAAGACTATTTGGACTTTTTGTATGATTAAGGTTCTTATTGGACTTTTCCCTAGGTTTTTTTTTTTTGTTATTGTTGTTGTTGTTTCGTTTTCTAGCTATAGGAACTATCTGGGGAGGGGCCCAGTGGGTCCTCGGCCAGAGCCCTCTCTAAGGACAGGTTGGGGAGGGTTGGGGAGGGCTGCCTGTGCTGGACTGAGGCTTGTGCCACTGGGCCTTTCTGATTTTGCCTCCAAAGGAGAGCGCTGTGATACCTACATGTGTAAGGAAGGGCCTTCCGTATTGGGGTTCTGCCAAGGACCCGTATTCAGGGACCCATGCTCTTTTGGGGGGACTTTTCCTCTTGTCTTCCCTACTTTATTAGGACTTGCCCTGAATACCATTTTCTACCCCTTGCCCCTCCATTCTCCTGGCCCTTCTGGGGGTCAGCTGGTCTCTATGAATATGCTGGGGGTGCTTCCCCATAGGTCTCTCCCTTCATTTGTCTCTGGTGGGACAAAATACTGACTCAGTCCTTAGATGTAGTTTCACCCAAGAGCATCTTGGCCCTGGGAAGAGGTCCCTAGGCTGCAGATGCTACTGACTGCTTGCTAGGTAGCCTCTGGAAAGCATTCCCCATCCATCACTCCCCACTTCTTTCTGCTGTGCTGCTTCCCTCCCAAACTCCATTTCTGTCACCCTTTTTATAAGACTTTTCCTCATTCTGTGGGGCCATAAACCTATTTAGTCTGGAGCCAAAGGGATGCCCTATCTGAAGGAAAGGGGCATGGGGTGGGGGATTCCATCAAAACTGTTGTTTTTTGCCCCATGATTTTTCTTTGGTCAGTAGGAGGCTGGATTGGAGTGGTGATTATTCCCCTGGAGCTAAGCTCAGGAGCCCGAAGGGAGAGACTGAGACTGACTCCCTTATCTCTTCATATTCTTTATTCCCTACCAGATGGATTTTTTTTTTTTTTTTTGGAGACGGAGTCTCGCCCTGTCGCCAGGCTGGAGTGTAGTGGCATGATCTCGACTCACTGCAAAATCTGCCTCCCGGGTTCAAGCGATTCTCCTACCTCAGCCTCCCGAGTAGCTGGGATTACAGGCATGTGCCACCACGCCAAGCTAATTTTTGTATTTTTAGTAGAGACGGGGTTTCACCATGTTGGCCAGGATGGTCTCGATCTCTTGACCTCGTGATCTGCCTGCCTTGGCCTCCCAAAGTGCTGGGATTACAGGCGTGAGCCACCATGCCCCGCCCCAGATGGATTTTACATTTGCTCTTTTGTGTTTCGCTCCAAAGGGTTGTCTTCCTCGCCAAAAGGAGGGAGGGACTTTGAATTTGATATGAATCTTTAAAACCAGAATTGGCTGGATATTTCCCATGATTGGGAAAAGAGTGAAATGAGGACATTCTGTAAACTGTCCCTCCCTAATTCCAAGGATCAGAAACTCCCCGTTTTGCTGACTCATTCCATAACTGGAGAAAGAAGCTCCATTGACCGAAGCCACAGGGCAGCATGGAAGTTTAAATTTTCTCTAAAATTAAAATGCCAAGGATAAAGCTGGCTGCTTCCAGGAGGGGGAAGAGGAGTGGGGAGTGGGCGGTGAAACTTTTCCAGATGAACGGACCATAAATGTGTTACTGGCTTTGTGCCTGTAGCTCATTTTATTATGACCTATATGCTCCTGATTTAAAGAGATCTGTGTACTGTTTACTTCCCACTTCCCAGAATCCCTTGTATCTCCTTTCTCGGGAATTGTATTTTCTAATAAATGACATTTGAGAAAAAAATGAAACTATAATTTTATTTATTTTTTTGACACAGGGTCTCTCTCAGTCGCCCAGGCTTGGAGTGCAGTGGTGAGATCTAGGCTCACTGCAACCTCCACCTCCCGGACTCCATCCATCCTCCCACCTCAGCCTTCCCAGTAGCTGGGACCACAGGTGCACACCACCATGTCTGGCTAATTTTTTTTTATTCTTTGTAGAGACAGGGTTTTGCTATGTTTCCCAGGCTGGTCTTGAACTCCTGGGCTCAAGTGATCTACCCGCCTCAGCCTCCCATAATTTTTAAAAGTAATTTTTAGTAGAGCCAAGGTCTTGCTACATTGCGCAGGCTGGTCTTGAATTCCTGAGTCCAAGCAACCCTCTCACCTTGTCCTCCCAAAGTGTTGGGATTACAGGTGTGAGCCACTGCACCCAGCTGAAACTATCATTTTAAAGATTGGTTGATGTTTGGCTGGGCAGAGTGGCTCATCCCTGTAATCTCAGCACTTTGGGAGGCCAAGGTGGGTGAATCACCCGAGGTCAGGAGTTCGAGACTAACCTGACCAACATAGTGAAACCCCGTCTCTACTAAAAATACAAAAATTAGCCAGGCATGGTGGCATGCGCCTGTAACCTCAGCTACTCAGGAGGCTGAGGCAGGAGAATCACTTGAACCAGGGAGGTGGAGGTTGCAGTGAGTCGAGATCGTGCCATTGCACTCCAACCTGGGCAACAAGAGTGAAACTCCGTCTCAAAAAAAAAAAAAAAAAAAAAAAAAAATTGGTTGATGTTCACATGTTTACATTGAAACATCTGATGTATGAGATGAAAATAATAATAGTGGTTTTTTATACCACCACATGGTAACTTTTATATGCACTAGTGCACTGCACTGACCATTTTTACATTTGTCAGCTAAATCTATCCTCACAACAACTTGATCAGGTGTGTACCATTACCCATTTTACAGATGAAGAAACTGAAGCTCAGAGGGATGAAGTAACTTGCCTAAGGGCACACAGCCAATAAGTCTTGGAGTTTGAACCCAGGTTTGTTGCACTCCAAACCTTGTGCAACCCCTCCTAGGCAATGTTTAATACAATCCCTTAAGTTGGTCTAATTGGTATTTCGGGTGCTTTTTATACATGATATATATCATCTTCCATTACCACTGCCCTGGACAGTAAGTATGGCTCATTCATGAATTCTGCAACAAACATTTACAGTTCTTACCAGTGCTACCTAGTGGCATGCCTCCATTCATAAAAAAATACATTGTATTGAATGCATCCTGGGCCCTGTACTCTAGGTACTGGATTGGGGCTTACCAAGGTAAATTAAGACAGTTCTCTGCATTTAAGAAGTTCACTACCAGGGCCAGGCACGGTGGCTCACGCCTGTAATCCCAGCACTTTGGGAGGCCGAGGCAGGCAGATCACGAAGTCAGGAGATCGAGACCATCCTGGCTAACACAGTGAAACCCCATCTCTACTAAAAATACAAAAAATTAGCTGGGTGTGGTGGCGGGCACCTGTAATCCCACCTACTTGGGAGGCTGAGGCAGGAGAATCGCTTGAACCCGGGAGGCGGAGGTTGCAGTGAGCTGAGATTGCGCCATTGCACTCCATCCTGGGCAAAAAGAGCGAAACTGTCTTAAAAAAAAAAAAAAAAGAAGTTTACTACCTAGAAATATTTGACCAACTCCATTTTATAGGAGAAAAAACTGAAACTTGAGATGCCTCAAAACTATCAAGCCACTACAGCATAACCATAGCCCAGAAGGGAATCCCCCAAGTGCAGGATGGAAGTGAAGTGACCCTTGTTCAAGCATTGTACCCAGAAGTCTTCAGAACTCTCCAGTGGGGAGTCATGTTTCATACTGGGGAATTCTGTGGGGGCTTCCAGGGATTTTTCAGTAGTAAACAGTAGGAAGTGTTACTGCTTTATTTCTAAGTGGTCTTGAGGTGTCACTGCAGTTCTGGGCAAGTCCCTATGGACTTTTTAAAGGTTAGTACTTGAATCTGCCAAGAGTCTTAGTGAAGGAAATTTCGTGGCCAAATGAGGTAGAAATCTGAACCCTCCTGAGGGAATGGGAATGAGAGAGGTGGGGAATGAGAGAGAGAGGTTGCCCAAGGAGAAAAGAAACAAAGGCAGCCCAGGGGGCCCAGATTTCTGAGTTCAAAGAGAGGTGACAAAAATGAAGCAGCCCAGCTTGCCGAGATTTGGGGAGCAAAGATTAGACTGGATTTGAAAGGTGAAAAAATGAGGCAGCATTTTAAATTGGGAGAGAATTTTCTGGTGGCTGGGACTTGTCTAAAGTGTCAACAAACAACACTAATGGCTTACTCTGGGTGAGGCGAGGTGTCCGGTACTGTGGCTACTCAGATAACAAAGGTGTGGATCCTGTCTTCAAGGAACTCAGTCTTTCAAGGGAGGCAGGCATGGAAATAAATACAGTGCAGTGTGATACGGACAAGGTGGCATAAGAAGGGGTGGGGCAGGCAGAGTGGGCTTCAGAGAGGATATCTGATCTGAGTGTTAAAATCAATCAGAGCTTCAGGCTTTATTCTTAGGGTGATGGGGTTTTCAGAAAGGGAACTGCAGGGGCCGGGCACGGTGGCCCATGGCTCTAATCTCAGCACTTTGGGAGGCCAAGGCGGGTGGATCATCTGAGGTCAGGAGTTCGAGACCAGCCTGGCCAACATAGTGAAACCCCAACTCTACTAAAAATACAAAAATTAGCCAGGTGTGGTGGTGAACGCCTGTAATCCCAGCTACTCAGGAAGCTCAGGCAGGAGGATCACTTGAACCCAGGAAGTGGAGGTTGCAGTAAGTTAAGACGGCACCACTGCACTCTAGCCTGGGCAACAGAGAGAGACTCTTATCTAAAAAAAAAAAAAAAAAAAACCTGAAAAACGGTAATGTCTAATTTATGTTTTAAGGGATCATTCTTCTGGCTGCTGTTCGAAGCAAGAATGGAAGCAGAAGAGGAGGCTATTGTAGTCTAGGAGGGAAATGATGGTGGCTTGGGGATGGTAAAAGTGGTCAAATTCTGGATATATTTTGAAGGTAGAGCTGACAGGACTTGCTGATGGACTGCATATGGAATCGAGGGAAAGGGGAGTTGAGGTTGACTCCTCAGTGTGGAGCCTCAGAATGTAGGCAAAGAGTCCTCTGGAGGAATTACTGGGAGTGGGGAGGTAGGTTCAGTAGAGCTGAATCAAGACTACTGATTGTGATAAGTTTGAGACGTGTGATAGAAATCTAAGTGGAGAAATAATAGAATGGAATCTGAAGCCCAAGGGAAGTCAGTCTGGAAGTTTAGATATGGAAGTCATCAGCATTCAGATGGCATTTAATTCCATGGAATGAGATGAGATCACCCAGGTTAGAGAGGCATGTGGGTGGATTGAGGCCAACATTTAGAGGAGGAGGAGGAGCAGATCAATGGTGTCCTGGCAACCTAAAGAAAAGTATGATCAGTGTCCTGGGGCTGCCATAACAAAGTATCACAAACTGAGAGGCTTAAACAGCAATGTATTTCTGGAGGTTGGAAGTCCAAAATCAAGGTGTCTGCAAGGTTGATTCCTTGTGAGGGCTGTGCGAGAGTCTGTTCCATGTTTCTCTCCTGGCTTCTGGAGGTTTGCTGGCAATCTGGCATTCCTTGGCTTATATATGCATCAACCCAGTCTCTGCCTTCACATTGCCGTGGCATTCTCTCCCTGTGCATGCACATGTCTGTGTCCAAATCTCCTCTTTTTATAAGGACGCTGTCATCTTGGATTAGAGCCCACCATAATGACCTCATCTTAACTTGATCATCTGCAAAGAACCTATTTCCAAATAAGATCACATTCACAGGTACTAAGGGGACTTTAGTACTTTATCTTTAGGACTTTATCTTTTGGGGGACACAGTTCAACCCCTAACAGTCAAGAGGAGTGAACATAGCAAAGTGGTCTTGGTGACCTTGATAAGAGCTGCCTGAATGAGTGGTGGGGGTGAAAGCCACATTGGTGTAGGCTGGGGAGAGTATAGGTGAAGAGGAAGTGGAGACCATAAGCACTAACAACTCTCGAGAGGTTTCGCTCTGGTGGTGCAGAAGCTTGGAGGGGTGTGTATCTAGGGAAGGCTTTTTTTTATTATTTACTTTTTTTTGAGACAGAGTCTTGCTCTGTCACCCAGGCTGCAGGGTGGTGGTGTGTTCTTGGCTCACTGCAGCCCTAACCTCGTTGGCTCAAGCAGTCCTCCCACCTCAACCTCCTGAGTAGCTGGGACTACAGGTGTGAGCCACCACGCCCAGCGAATTTTTTAAATTTTTGTAGAGACAAGGTCTTGCTATGTCGTCCAGGCTGGTCTTGAACACTTGGGCTCAAGCCTTGGCTCAAGCCCCCTGCCTTGGCCCTGCAAAGTGTAGGGATTACAGGCGTAAGCCACCATGCTGGGTGGTCTTTTTATTTTTAATATAGCTGATATTAAGTTATGTAAATGTGAATGATCTATTAGTGAGAGAAACGTGTATGTTACTAGGGAGAAGGGATAAGAGAGGTCAGAATTCCTTAAGTGAAAATGGAGGGATGGCATCCAGGAGGTTTCTTGGGTTGTGGCAGGATTGAAGGCAGATTATGTGGGTCCAGATGCCGGTGGATTTGTTCAGGGAAAGATGAGGTGATTTATGTCCAGTTGTATCTGTTTTTTCTTGAAGTATGAGTGTGATCATAAACTGAGAATGTGTGTTTATGGGAAATGCTGGAAATTTGAAGAAAGAAGTATTGTGAGACAGTCTCAGAGTGTAGGAGAAGCAAAGCTTCTAGGGAACTGTGGTGGGAGTGCCTGGTGTCGATGAGATTGTGATCACAAGTATGAAGTGAGTCACTCAGCATGTCTGAGCGATCTTCTTAAGCAATGATTAGCTGCAAGGGTGCAGGCGCAGAATGCGTGAGTAGTTGGGTTTAACTAGGGTTGGAGTTTTGCCAGGGAGTAGAAGGGCAAGGGGGTAGTTTTAATACTGGATCATGGAAATTCATGCTGAGTAAGGAGGGAAATGAAGAGTGTGATGGATCACAAAAAGTGGTAAGAGCAATGGTTTGTGGTCTCTGAGGAGTTAACCAGCAGCTGAATAGGGTTATCAGGGCAGTGTGGATTGGTAGGAGGCGGCAGCCAGAGTGGGAGATACTGCGATATCAGATTTTGGAGCTGGTGGTGACTCCGAAAAAATCAAGAGCCATATACCCTTTACCTCAGTCTGGCAAAGTCTTTTAAAATAAACAGAATTAACTGAGGTTTTAATTTTCTCCGGCCAAAGTGCCAGTCAGCTTGCCAATGGAAGGACTTTTTGTCTTCACCAGCTTGCACACGGCCTTGGCAACATGTTATCTCTGTGTACAGATCTGGCCTCCCTCTGCCCTCTAGCAGGCTTGGGAAGGCTGAGTCACACTTTTCCAGCTGAGACGAACAAGGCAAAGTCACATATTCTCAGAGGCAGCTCTCAAATATTTTAATTTTTTAAACTTTTTTTTTCCATAAACTTTTGTAGACTGTTGCTCAGGTTCTTTCTTTCTTTTCCCTCCCTTCCTTCCTTCTCTCTCCCCTCCCTCTCCCCTCCCCCCACACTCCTGTCCCCCTCCTCTCCCCTTCCCTCTCCTCCCCCCCTTCTTCCATTCTTCCTTTTCTTCTTTCTTTCCTTTCTTCCTTCCTTCCTTTTCCCTCCCTCCCTCCCTTTCTTCTTCCTTCTTCCTTCTTCCCTTTTTTTCTTTCTTTCCCTCTCTCCCTCCCTCCCTTCCTTTCCTTTCCTTCTTCCTTTTCTTTCCTTCTTTCTTTCCCTCCCTCCCTCCCTTCTTTCCTTCCTTCCTTCCTTTCCCTCCCTTCCTTCCATTCCCTCCCTTCCTCCCATTCTTCCTTTCTCTTCTTTTCCTTTCCTTTCCTTCCTTTTCTTTCCTTTTTTTCTCTTTGTTTCCTTCCTTCCTTCCCTCCCTCCCTCCCTCTTTCTTCTTTTCTTTCCTTCCATCCCTTTTTCTTTCAAGACAGGGTCTCAGTCTGTCACCCAGACTGGAGTGTGGTGGCATGTTCTCAGCTCACTGCAGCCTCAACCTCCTGGGCTCAAGTGATCCTCCCACCTCAACCTCCTGAGTGGCTGGGAACACAGATGCACACCACCACACCTGGCAAATTTTTTGTAGAGATGGGGTTTTGCCATATGTTGCTCAGGCTGGTCTTGAACTCTTGGGCTCAAGCAATTGACCCACCTCCCAAGTGCTAGGATTACAGGCATGAGCCACCATGCCTAGCCCAAATACTTTATGATTGCATTTTCCCTCTTTAGAACTTCTAACATAAGGAAGAATAAAAATTATATATCCAATGACTACATGGGGAAGGGGAGTTCCATTCAAGAAAGTTTTAAGAAATTGTTTTCAGGGGTGTGTGGTGTCAGTCAGTGACAAAGTTGAGAGTGGAATGCAAGAGGCTTGGTCTTAAGGAAGACGACATTATTTTAAAGTATTATTACTCTTCCATTCATTCAACAAACATTTATTGGGTACCTATTATGTACCAGTCAACATACTACCTCAGTGGTTCTTAAACTTTTTGGCCTCAGGAAAAAGTTTATACTCTTAAAAAGTATTGAGGGCCCCAGCCAGGTGTGCTGGCTCATGTCTGTAATCCCTGCACTTTGGGAGGCTGAGGCAGGCAAATTGCTTGAGCTCAGGAGTTTGAGACCAGCCTGGGCCACATGGCAAAACCTCATCTCTACTAAAAAGAAAAAAAACCCCAACTTGGGCAACCTGGTGAAACAGTCTCCACTAAAAAAATATAAAAATTGGCCGGGCATGGTGGTGGGTGCCTGTAATCCCAGCTACTTGGGAGGCTGAGGCAGAAGAATCGCTTGAACCTGGGAGGTGGAGGTTGCAGTGAGCTGAGATTACACCACTGCACTCCAGCATAGGCAACAGAGCAAGACTCCATCTCAAAAATGTAATAATAAAATGAAAAAAAAAAAACAACAGGTGTGGTGGTACACACCTGCTATGCCAACAACTTGGGAGGCTGAGGTGGGAGGACTGCTTAAGCCTGGGAGATCAAGGGTGCAGTGAGCCGTGACTGCACCACTGCACTCCAGCCTGGGCAATACAGCAAGATCCTGTCTCAAAAAAAAATTACTAAGGACCCCAAATAACTATCTTTATACCTTTATGTGGTTTATAGCTATCAATATTTCCTATTTATGAATTCAAGACCGAGGAACTGAAAAATGTTCATTTAGGCTGGGTGTGGTGGTGTGCACCTGTCGTTCCAGCTACTTGGGAGGCTGAAGCAGGAGGATTGCTTGAGCCCAGGAGTTCAAGGCCATAGTGTGCTGTGATTGCCCCTGTGAATACGCACTGCACTCCAGCCTGGGCAACATATGAAACTCTGTCTTTAATGAAAAATACAATAAAATTTTAAAATTCATTTAAAAATAACCAATTACATGTTAATTTTTTTTTTTTTTTTGAGGCAGGATCTCACTCTGTTGCCCAGGATGGAGTGCAGTGGCACAATCTTGGCTCACTGCAACCTCTGCCTCCCAGGCTTGAGCAATCCTCCCACCTCAGCCTCCTGAGTAGCTGGGACCACAGGCGTGCACCGTCATGCCTGGCTAATTTTTGTATGTTTTGTAGAGACAGGGTTTTGCCATGTTGCCCAGGCTGGTAATGTTCAATTATTTTTCAAAACATAAAAAGCTTAGTGAGAAAAGTGGCATTGTCTTACATTTTTTCCAAATGTCTTTAGTATCTGGCTTAATATAAAACAGCTAGAATCTCGTATCTATCTGCTTTTGCATTCATTCTGTTGACAGTTCACACACCATGTATCTTCCAGAAGACTTCACTGTACATACATGAGAAAATGAGAGTTAAAAAAGCTGAGAATTATTATGGAAATATTTTTGGCCTTAAGGACCCTCTGAAAGGGTTTCAAAGGAGGATCCCCAGGGGTGCCCAGACCATACTTTGGGAACCACTTTTCTAGATAGTTGGATACAGCCCTCAAGGAATTCAGGGACCAGCAAGAGAGAATACTTACAGGTATATGTAATGCAATGTGTTAAGTGCTCTAATAGAGCGGAATAATATAAGTACTGTGAGGGATCCATTAATTCTGGCTGGAAAGGTCAATGAAGGCTTCAAGGAGAAGCTGACATTTGAATTGGATCTTGAAGGATGAGTAGGTATGTAACAGGAAAGGTGAAGCTTTTCTTGGCTGAGAAACAGCATGAGTAAAGGCAGGAAGCAAGGAGTACAGGTAAGTCCAATGTTCCTAGAATATAACATGCATGAAGACAAGTGACAGAGGAGGCTGGAAGAGTACAGTGGGAGGGCAGGCTGCATAGAGCCTTTATTCTGCAGGCAATGAGGAAACAACTGAAGACTGTAAAGCAGAACCACACAAGAATATTA
The DNA here is from genome assembly GCF_000001405.40 of Homo sapiens. Lineage (NCBI taxonomy): Eukaryota > Metazoa > Chordata > Mammalia > Primates > Hominidae > Homo > Homo sapiens. The sequence continues at coordinate 204,414,215 of NC_000001.11, read as the reverse complement.
GCTAATCTTTGTGCTCCTACTCTGTCTAGGCTAGGCACTGAGAAAACTTAGTTTTCTTACCAATCCATTGAAAGAGGAATTACTAGCCTCACTTTACAAGAAACAGGCTTCTGGTAACAAATTTGCCTACTTGGATCTGTATTATGAAACTGACCTCTATTATTAATACATTTTTCTGAAGTTCATAGGATTGAGATTTTCCAGAGGTATGGATAATAATACAGGATAAACAACAGAAACTGAGGTCCTCTTGGCTTCCTAGAAAGAAGTGGTTGTGCCGAACGTGGTGGCTCACGCCTGTAATCCCAGCACTTTGGGAGGCTGAGGCGGGCAGATCACAAGGTCAGGAAATTGAGACCATCCTGGCTAACATGGTGAAACTCCGTCTCTACTAAAAATACAAAAATTAGCCGGGCGTGGTGGCATGTGCCTGTAGTCCTAGCTACTAGGGAGGCTGAGGCAGGATAATAGTTTGAACCCAGGAAGGCGGAGGTTGCAGTGAGCAGAGATCACACCACTGCACTATATCCTGGGCAACAGAGCGAGACTCGTCTCAAAAAAGAAAAAAAGAAGTGGTTGTTCCTTGAACAGGCCCAGTAAGGCAGGAGGAGCTGCTGGTCTCCTCCCAGCTCCCTAAAGATTTTTCTGCTGTCCCTAGTGCTCATAACTGCCACCCTCCCTCTGTAATTGGTACTTGACTTCAGGGGTATCTATTACAGAGTTTTAGCAGAAATAAAGAAATGAACTAAGACCAAACTCACAAGAGATAATCAAATACAGCAATTAAAATTACCAGCCATTTTTTTTTTCAAAGGATAGTGGTCCATGTTTCCTTTTTGGCTGTTGTATTCTGTGGTTCTGGTTGCTAAGGAAGTATTAATAAATATGAATTGAATATGTTGCCTGCTTGGAAGCATAAAAGAGAGTAAATAGTTCTGGGGACTGAGCTGCTTCTCTGTGAGTTTAGTTTGCCCCACACCAGACATGTATGTACGCAGCACTGCCCAACTTTTACATAAGATCTCAGGTTGATGGTCTACATAGTACTGAACAATAGGAGAACCCTGAAATATCTGTCAGGCTGGGCGCAGTGGCTCACGCCTGTAACCCCAGCACTTTAGGAGGCCGAGGCGGGCAGATCACTTGAGCTGAGTTTGAAACCAACCTGGGCAACACGACGAAACCCTGTCTCTATAAAAATATGCAAAAATTGGCCGAGCACGGTGGCTCACGCCTGTAATCCCAGCACTTTGGGAGGCTGAGGCGGGCGGATCACAAGGTCAGGAGATCGAGACCATCCTAGCCAACATGGTGAAACCCTGTCTCTACTAAAAATACAAAAAATTAACTGGGCGTGGTGGCACACGCCTGTAGTACCAGCTACTAGGGAGGCTGGGGCAGGAGAATCGCTTGAACCCGGGAGGCGGAGGTTGCAGTGAGCCGAGATTGCGCCACTGCACTCCAGCCTGGCGACAGAGTGGGAATCCGTCTCAAAAAAAAAAAAAATTTAGCTGGGCGTGGTGGTGCGAGCCTGTAGTCCCAGCTCCTCGGGAGGCTGAGGTGGGAGGCTCACTGGAGCCCAGGAGGTTGAGGCTGCAGTGAGCCGAGATCGCACTACTGCACTCCAGCCTGGGCGACAGAGCTAGACCCTGTCTCAAATAAATAAATAATAAAAATCTAAGACTACGATAACCCTACAGTTGGCCCGCGGGGCATTCAACCTTCCATGGATTGAAAATATTCGGGAAAAATAAAGATAATAAAACATAATACAAATAAATACAGTATAACAACTAGTTCCATAGCACTTGCATTGTATTAGGTATTATACTTAATCTAGGGGATGGTTTAAATATCTGGGAAGGTGTATGCAGGTTATATGCAAACACTATACCATTTTACATAAGGGACTTGACCGTCTGCGGATTCTGGTGTCTACGGGGTCCTGGAACTAATCCCCATTTCATGAGAGGGGATGACTGTACACACGTCAGTGTGTATTAGGCCATCAAAACGCCTCCGGGAAATTCTCGGGTTATTTTGAAAACCCCTCCCCTCCCCAAGACCTTTAACCTAGAGGGCTGTTGGGGCGGTCTCCTAGGAGACCACACAGAAACGACTGCGCATGCGTGCATTCCCCCCCCCCCCCCCCCCCCCCCCCCCGCCCCGGCTGATGCAACCTCACGCTGCCGTGCGGCTCTACCTCGAGTAAGGAAGCCGACAGGGAAATCTGGCAAAACCAATCGGCGGCCACACGGAAGTGGGCGGAAAGGCCCGCCCCCCGGGGATTTTGCGAGTGACGTTGGGCGGCGCGGCGCTAGGGACGTAGACGCCCAACAGTCCTGCGTCTCTTCCGGCGTCTAGGGGGGTGTCCTGCCGGCGCGCGGGCCCTGCGGCCATTTTGGGCTTCGCTTCCACCGCACCAGCCGGCCTACCCAGTCCTTCCGGTATCGCGTTGCTCAGGGGCTTTTCAACCCTCTGTCAGTCGGAAAACCATCGCCGAGGCCGTGGGGGGACTCCTATCCATGGTGTTGAAGCGTCGAGCCGACTAGGGAACCTCCTTCCCCGCCAGGATGGAAGTCGCATCAGTCGCCGCCTATTGCGCGGGCTGTTCTTCCCTGTGTTCTGCCGCCCGCTGCCGCATTCGCTGCCCTCTGTGGCTTTTCTGCTGGCTCGAAGATCGGCCTGGAGCAGCGACGCCACCGCTGGGCAAGGCCGAGACTCTGTAGGCTTCCTCCGAATCCCGTCGACCTCCAGCCGCTGAGCGCCGCGGCCCTACCTGAGAGACTGTCAAGAAAAAGGAGATGGAGCCGGGGACAGGCGGATCGCGGAAACGGCTTGGCCCTCGGGCGGGCTTCCGGTTCTGGCCACCCTTTTTCCCTCGGCGATCGCAAGCAGGCTCTTCTAAGTTCCCGACGCCTCTTGGCCCGGAAAACTCCGGGAACCCCACACTGCTTTCCTCTGCCCAGCCCGAGACTCGGGTCAGTTACTGGACGAAACTGCTCTCCCAGCTCCTTGCGCCGCTCCCCGGATTGCTTCAGAAGGTGCTAATTTGGAGCCAACTTTTCGGTGGAATGTTTCCGACCAGATGGCTAGATTTTGCTGGAGTCTACAGCGCCCTGAGAGCCCTGAAGGGACGGGAGAAACCAGCCGCCCCCACAGCGCAGAAATCTTTGAGTTCGCTGCAGCTCGACTCCTCAGACCCCTCGGTCACCAGTCCCCTTGATTGGCTAGAGGAGGGGATCCACTGGCAATACTCGCCCCCAGACCTAAAATTGGAGCTTAAGGCCAAGGGAAGTGCTTTGGACCCTGCAGCACAGGCTTTTCTCTTAGAGCAGCAGCTGTGGGGAGTGGAGCTGTTGCCCAGTAGCCTTCAATCCCGTCTGTACTCTAACCGGGAACTTGGCTCTTCGCCCTCTGGGCCTCTAAACATTCAACGCATAGACAATTTCAGTGTGGTATCCTATTTGCTGAACCCTTCCTACCTGGACTGCTTTCCTAGGCTAGAAGTCAGCTATCAGAACAGTGATGGAAATAGCGAGGTAGTCGGCTTCCAGACACTAACCCCAGAGAGCAGCTGCCTGAGAGAGGACCATTGTCATCCCCAGCCGCTGAGTGCAGAACTCATTCCGGCCTCGTGGCAGGGATGTCCACCTCTTTCTACGGAAGGCCTACCAGAAATTCACCATCTTCGCATGAAACGGCTGGAATTCCTTCAACAGGCTAGCAAGGGGCAAGATTTACCCACCCCTGACCAGGATAATGGCTACCACAGCCTGGAGGAGGAACACAGCCTTCTCCGGATGGATCCAAAACACTGCAGAGATAACCCAACACAGTTTGTTCCTGCTGCTGGAGACATTCCTGGAAACACCCAGGAATCCACTGAAGAAAAAATAGAATTATTAACTACAGAGGTTCCACTTGCTTTGGAAGAAGAGAGCCCTTCTGAGGGCTGTCCATCTAGTGAGATACCTATGGAAAAGGAGCCTGGAGAGGGCCGAATAAGTGTAGTTGATTACTCATACCTAGAAGGTGACCTTCCCATTTCTGCCAGACCAGCTTGTAGTAACAAACTGATAGATTATATTTTGGGAGGTGCATCCAGTGACCTGGAAACAAGTTCTGATCCAGAAGGTGAGGATTGGGATGAGGAAGCTGAGGATGATGGTTTTGATAGTGATAGCTCACTGTCAGACTCAGACCTTGAACAAGACCCTGAAGGGCTTCACCTTTGGAACTCTTTCTGCAGTGTAGATCCTTATAATCCCCAGAACTTTACAGCAACAATTCAGACTGCTGCCAGAATTGTTCCTGAAGAGCCTTCTGATTCAGAGAAGGATTTGTCTGGCAAGTCTGATCTAGAGAATTCCTCCCAGTCTGGAAGCCTTCCTGAGACCCCTGAGCATAGTTCTGGGGAGGAAGATGACTGGGAATCTAGTGCAGATGAAGCAGAGAGTCTCAAACTGTGGAACTCATTCTGTAATTCTGATGACCCCTACAACCCTTTAAATTTTAAGGCTCCTTTTCAAACATCAGGGGAAAATGAGAAAGGCTGTCGTGACTCAAAGACCCCATCTGAGTCCATTGTGGCCATTTCTGAGTGTCACACCTTACTTTCTTGTAAGGTGCAGCTGTTGGGGAGCCAAGAAAGTGAATGTCCAGACTCGGTACAGCGTGACGTTCTTTCTGGAGGAAGACACACACATGTCAAAAGAAAAAAGGTTTGTTTCTTGTCTTTTAACATGCCTGATATGTTCTGACTGTTTTTATATGCTTAAATATAGCAGCATGACTTTGGAGGCTTAGGAGTGCATGTATTTTTGAGGAAGGCCTCTAAATTCATATACTTGGATTGAGAAATATGTAAATGACCCTTCTCCTCCTGTCCCTCACCCCCCACCCCAATGCACATTGTTGCTGTCCAAAACGAACATACCAGTGTGTAGATGTTAGCAGGAAAGTGCCATTTTTATTTGGGTTGGTAGTTCTGGACTGTTTCCTTACAAGCTTCAATTTTTCACACTTTTTAACGGACTATTAAACTTTGTGTGTACACGATTTAATTTTTCTAGAGATTGAAAAGGTCCTGTTACAGCCATAGAGTTTTAAAATGATTTTAAATGTATGTTGTCTGCAAATACTTAATATTTTTTTTGCATATAACAAGAGTGTCTTCATTCCTGTCCATTACAACCCAAAGGGATGATGATATCAAGTAGCAAGTCAGATTTATCTGGTCCAATTGGCCATGAAATTAAATAGTAATTTCACTGGTTTTGACATTACATGGTTTTAATTGAAAGTCAAAGCCAGTACAGGAAGTGGTATTGCCTTTTCTTAGGAATGCAATGCTAGTTATCAGTGGTCAGCTACAGGTTAATATTAATAATAAACAGTGATGGCCACTTACTTGGTTTATCTTGACTAGTTGCTTCCTTTTCCCAGGCTAGTCTTAAAACTTCATGCAGCATTTTACGCTTTAATTACATTGTCAGGTTAACCTTATTTTGGGAGTCTTTAGAGTTGGTTTGTTTTTCTTTATAGTTGATTCAACTAAAGTTATTAATTGAACTCTTCTCCAAACTCAAAGGTGTCTATTATTGTAGAGGGAACGTTTTTTTAGTTTTCTATACCGTTACTTGGAGAGAGAAGTTAGTGGGTGAGTTATTATTGACCTCAGATTCTGCCTCACTGGGGCGTTTCAAATGGACAGTACCATAATCTCTTGGCTCCACATGGCCAGCTTACTACTTTGAAATTATTCCTGGGTAGAAAATGTCTCAAAATGGTGATAATCTTACGTCTTACCTTTAGGGCAGAATAAGTCATGTTAAAGATTAAATTTTAGTTCACACTTTGTAAATGCCATCTCTCTTTGTCCTTTTAAGGGGCCCCTGACAAAATGACCTATTTAGAATGAATAGGTAAGAAACAAAGTGGGGCAATGGAATGAGCACTTGGCAGCTGGAGCCCTGTGTTCTCTACTCCTCAGTGGTTAAGGCGCAGAGATTTGGAAGGCAGCCAGACCTGGGAAGTTGCTTGACTCTCATGGCCTCAATTCACTCTTACTTGATGGGTAAAATAATAATATCTATTGTACAAGTTATTGCAAGATTTAAATGAGACAAGTAAATAAAACTCAGAATTTATTGCCTTGCCTTTAAATGCTAGCTCTTATTGAGAGACCTCAGGCCAGTCTCATGTCTTGTTTTAGCTTGCTCGTTGAGTAAAATGAAATGAGTGGAGTAGATGATACTATTGACTATGAACTAGAAGCAGAATTTATAAATGATTATGTCTGAATATGATATAATTATTTGACAGCCTTTGACTACCTGCCATTGGTATATATGGGGAATGGTGTATGGAATATATGGAGTATATAGGATGATGGACAGTGAGTCTAAAAAACCCTTCTACCTCTGTTTTCTTATCGGTATAATGGGGATGATAATAGTCCATACCTCATAGGGTTAATGTGAGGATTAGATGAGATAAAAATGTAAAGCTCTTTAAAAAAAGCCTGGTATATGGTAAACACTGTACGTTTTTATTATTTATCTTAATGACACAATGAATGAGTAGTATTCAAGACTAGAATGCAATAACTAGTAAGGTGTTACATACCTGCTAATTGTCCTCAGGGGCATCCCTTGGCTTGATGTAAAGGGAACGAAAGTAGTAGGCCACATTGGGGTTAGCTGATGTAACTATTAAACATACTTGAAAGCAAGTATTTACTTTTGGAGTTTGATATCTTAGAAAGAAACTTCATTAGAAATTAAGTAGTGATTAGTAATGAGTAGGGATTGTCACTCATTACATGTCATTATGTATATTAGAATCACAATTTCATATATAGTGATAGCATATTGAATACAAAGGTTTTTAAAATCTTAACTACAAAGTTTCTTAGAGTAACACAGCTTTAAAAATACTAATTTTGCTATACTTTGTTTACTAAGTAACTTTTTCTCTTCTGTATTGTTATTGCCAAAGTAATGATACAAAAATAGTACAACATGTTGATTTAAAAGTTGGAAAGTGAAAAAAATTTTTAAAAGGAAAAAGAATAGAAGTAAGCAAAAATATTGTTAAAGCCTTTATGCAGTGATAAAAACAGTGACTTCCAGGGATATAGTGGTTATTTTCAGAAATATTTTGCTTGTCATTTTGAGGGAAAAATATCACAGAACTGTATTTCCCTAAGGATTAAAAAATAGCAGGGGTTAATAACAGCATGAAAAATTCAATTCCCTATCTGGATTCATTTTATTAACACCAAAAGCCAAGGGCTGGTGGGGGATTGGGGGGGGCAGACGACTGTGTGTGTATATTATGCAGATATAGATAAATGAAGTATATATAGATGAAAGATATATATCTCTATATGAAATATTTAGGTGACATTTGTTCACTATTTTATCCAAATGCCATCTAATCTGAACTTTTTTTTTTTTGAGACAGAGTTTTGCTCTTGTTGCACAGGCTAGAGTGTAGTGGCGCGATATTGGCTCACTGCAACCTCCACCTCCCAGGTTCAAACTGTTCTCCTACCTCAGCCTCCTGCGTAGCTGGGATTACAGGCATGTGCCACCACGCCTGGCTAATTTTTTCGTATTTTTACTAGAGACAGGGTTTCACTGTGTTGGTCAGGCTGGTCTTGAACTCCTGACCTCAGGTGATCCGCCTGCTTCCGCCTCCCAAAATGCTGGGATTACAGGCGTGACAGAACTTTTTTTTTAACTTCAAATATAGCTGGGACCAAATATTCCTAATAATAATATGTTATTCTTAGTTGGGAATATTCTGAAAGAATTGGTAGCATAAAGGGTTATTGACCTCAATGCTGATTGTAAGATCCTAGACAGTTATTAAAATTAGTCTTTGTTTTTGTAGGTAACCTTCCTTGAAGAAGTTACTGAGTATTATATAAGTGGTGATGAGGATCGCAAAGGACCATGGGAAGAATTTGCAAGGGATGGATGCAGGTTCCAGAAACGAATTCAAGAAACAGAAGATGCTATTGGATATTGCTTGACATTTGAACACAGAGAAAGAATGTTTAATAGACTCCAGGGAACATGCTTCAAAGGACTTAATGTTCTCAAGCAATGTTGAGTTGGCAGCCTGTAGTCCTAGCTAGCATACACTACCTCTTACCTGAGAGGTGTCTTTTAAAAACAAATCTTGGCAGCTGTCCTTTGACATTTTTTTTTTTAGAGGAAATGTAACTTGGATCTAGTTTAATTTTTTTTTTTGCAACATATCCCACTCAGAAACATTCAGGTTTGAAGCCAGCCCTGATAATGAAGGATGAACTAGTGTGATTTCTAATCCTCCCTTTTTTGATTTAGTTGGATGTGCTTTTAAATGTCCTTTGCCTGCATGAGGTGGAAAGGGGACCTTTTTGAGTTGTCATTTTGCACTTTCAAAACTTATTTTCTTGGAAAACAATATTTATAGGGCTTAAAGCCCATTTTCATTTCTAATCTAAATTATGTGTGCCTATCTGAAAACTTTGGGCTCTTTCTTGTTTCTTTCCCAAAATTCAGAAGTTAATGGGCTTTTATGTTTTTCTATATTTTTTTTATTTCAATGATTTGGCCTGTCTATGTTAGGCTAAAAAATAACCTTGTGTATGCTACCAACTTAAAGTGCATTATTTTGTGTCACTTTTTTTTTTCTTGTAAAAATGACTTGGATTGAAAATATGTGGTAGCCTTTTTATTTCTACATTAAGTTCTACCTAGGATATTTCCAAGGACTGCCACAAAACCCATATGTGCAGTACTTTACTACTTTGGGAAAGCTGCATCTTTCTACCACATTTTAACATCTAATATATTTAATTTCTTTGAAGAGGGTTCTGTGTACGTTATTGTAGTTCCCAGTTTAATATAGTTCTTTGTATCTCTTAACAGGTTGAAGTTATTGCAAAACACTCTGGAAAGTAATAATTACATCATAATCATTTATTTTTTAAACTTAAAAGCCTAGAAATTTCCTAGAAAGAAAATAGGAGACATCTCAGAGCAATTTGGTTTTGGTGTATATGTTCTCAACAGAAAACCAGTGTTAATGAATATCATGCCTCAGCACTGTCACTTTTAAAACCTGTCAGGATCCCACTGTAAAATTGGAAATGGGCAGTTCTGAATTTTCACGTTTGAAATGTAAAATATAAACTTCAGTCAATATCCAGGTTTATTGTGTCCTACTATTTAATAATGAGAGAAGTAATGGCAAGGCCTTTACTTTCAGGAAAGGATAGAAGTATAGATTAATGACTGGAAAGTTTTAATATATTTAGCCCAAAGGTTACTTTGAATTGAAGTCTTTGCATTGACTGTTTGTGTTTGGTTTATTTGTTTAGCTTTACAAGGTACACATAAGTTAGGTTGAGGGGTTGTTAACCCTTCCGTGGTCTGCTTTCATTCCGTGTGCTTCCTGTCACAGGTAATGGAAAACATAAGTAGAATAGGTGACCTCTTAGTTTTGAACTTATTTAAGTGTGGGGATGAATTTTTCATCAGAAGTGCTTACAGGGTTACTACCTCAGTTTACAATCTACCTGGTCATTATTTTATTTCTATCCAGTTCTAAGAACTGCCTCCACTGTTTATATATTCATAATTAAACACATTGAGAATGCAACACTATAAAAGCTGGTCAAATTTTTGCAGAGCCCTTATTCTGTGTGTTTTTTGTTTTTTTCTTTTTTTTTTGAGACAGAGTCTCGTTCGGTCCCCCAGCTTGGAGTGCAGTGGCGCGATCTCGGCTCACTGCAACCTCCGCCTCCTGGGTTCACGCGATTCTCCTGCCTCAGCCTCCCGAGTAGCTGGGATTACAGGCACACACCACCACGCCCGGCTAATTTTTTGTGTCTTTTTAGTAGAGACGGGGTTTCGCTATGTTGGCCAGACTGGTCTTGAACTGCTGACCTCGTGATCCGCCCGCCTCGGCCTCTCAAAGTGCTGGGATTCTGTGTGTTTTGTGCACCTCCACTTTAGGTAATCATAGGGAGCACATTTACAGGATGGTCTAATAACATGAAAACAGGCTAGTTTCAAGCAACAGCAATGTCGGTTGGAAAGCAGGCGTCATTTGCCTTGAAAAAAGCCTTTTGACAACATACAGGCATTCTTTTAAAACCAGGCTGAAACATTTTATTTCCGAGACTTAACGTTGTGTTTCCTGTTTCTTAAACCTAGCACCTCTGTGTATTTGAAAATAATGAGACATCTTTCATTGGATTTTGGAAAATTGTTCCCCATGGGATTCTAACCTCACTACCAAATGAGTGAAAGCTTGATTAAGAGTTCTTCCATATACTAGCCTCCTTGGAAGAAGTGATCAGAAGGTGATAAGAAGGACAGAAAGGACTATTTTAAAGTTGGACTGAAGGAGAAAAAAGCAAAATTCTTGTTTCATCCCAATTCTAGTTAGAACAAAGTTAAACCCCCGTAATCTTAAAGAGAAAATCTTTGGAGGTTTTAATTAAACATTTTATACATTTAAAGTCTTGTTAATGGTGCTTTAAGTGTCAATGTAGCATGTAAAAGGCTTTGTACAGACAGGTAAAAGTTCCATTTCTGAGTGATGAAATGTAACACTTCTTCATCTTTAACTTGAAATCAAAACTATCAGATTTTATTTTTGTATAATTTAAGGAAGGTAAAGTTAGGGGACTAGAAGACTCTAAATTGGCTTCTACAGATCAATAATTTAAATGTAACTAGTTGGGATTTTATAGTTAAAATTATATTTGTGTATATAACATAACTAATCTGTAAATTGTAATAAATATATTTGCAATTATTAAATGTTAAGTGATATTTTGGTTCAACTTTATATTATATGTATCATAGTATTTTACAATGGTTTTGGAATTACTAAGCAGGATTAGTATAATTGCAAACAACATTTTAGTAATAGAAGAACTTGGTTCTTGCAGTATTATGAGAGGCCCTTCTAAGAAACTGAAGATTTGATTCTGAAATTGGCCCTAGCTTTTCAGTTTTGCTGCAAAGAAAATTAAACTGGGTATTCACAGAAGCAATAACATTCAGATGCTGGGCTTAGCCTAGTGCTTAAGTAGCAGGGAAATCTCTGTTTTGTGCATTATTATTATTATTATTTTTTGAGACGGAGCCTCTGTCACCCAGGCTGCATTGAAGTGGCACGATCTCAGCTCACTGCAACCTCCACCTTCCGGTTTCAAGCGATTCTCCTGCCTCAGCCTCCCGAGTAGCTGGGATCACAGGCACCTGCCACCATGCCCGGCTAAATTTTGTATTTTTAGTAGAGATGGGGTTTCATCATGTTGGCCAGGTTGTTCTCGATCTCCTGACCTCGTGACCCTCCTGCCTCGGCCTCCCAAAGTGCTGGGATTACAGGCGTGAGCCACCGTGTCTGGCTATTTTGTGTGTTACTAATCACGATAATCATGGTATTGTAAAATCATGATGATCTCTCATTTACAAAAGTGGGCCAGGTATGGTGGCTCACGCCTGTAATTCCAGCACTTCGGGAGGCTGAGGTGGGAGGATTGCTTGAGGCCTGGAGTTCAAGACCAGCCTGAGCAACATAGTGAGACACTTTCCTCTACAAAAAAAAACAAAAAAACTGGCCCATGGTGGCGCACACCTGTGGTCCTAGCCTATAGACCCAGTTACTGGGGAGGCTGAGACAGGAGGGTTGCTTGAGCACAGAAGTTCAAGCCTGCAGTGAGCTGTGATTCCACCATTGTACTCCAGCCTGGGTGATAGACTCTGTCTCAAAAAATAAAGTCAGATGGAATCATGCTTTAATACTAGATATATGGATCATTGAGACTGTCTCAAAAGAATAAATGTTATCAGAAAAAAATTTTTACTCCGAAAAAGAAAGCATTTGGGTTATGGCAACCCTATTAATGGATGAAAGAATAATAGCACTCTTAATTCAGGCACTTTCAAGATGAAAGGATAATGAAGAAAAGTTATTAAGATATATTTCTGAACTGGAAGGAAAGAAACTAACATTTAGTTGCAGTTAAACAATATTTAGTACAAACTGAGTTGACATCCCCGGGTTATAATTTTATTTCTATCTTGGGGTTAATTGAAGCATGTCTGCCATTCCCCAGTAATATATGTGAAAATGGCTACATTTACATTAAGCCAGATTTATTGCTATGCTTATCCTGATATTTCATAGAAATTGTGTTATTTTTCTTTTGTACTTTAGTAGAAAGTTAAAAGCAAATATTTAATTGCTGACCTCAGAATTTCTTGTTTTTTTGAGATGGTCTTGCTCTGTCCTCCAGGCTGCAGTGCATTGGTGCGATCTTGGCTCACTGTAGCCTCAACAGCCTCAACCTCCCAGGCTCAAGCGATTCTCCCACCTCAGCCTTCTGAGTAGCTGGGACTCCAGGTGCACACCACCGCACTCAGCTAATTTTTCTGTTTTTTGTAGAGATGGGGTTTTGCCATGTTGTCCAGGCTGAGACCTCAGAAATTTAGATAGTTACTCAGATTTGGGAATTTGGTGTTCTCTGGCATATTGTCATTTGGAGACTTCATTTGGACTCTATTCTCTGTACCTTTTTAAAATAAAAATGGGAAATTTTCATTTTTTTCTCATAATGCACGTTGTTTATAAAAGCATCTAATACAGAGATGTACAAAGACATTTTTGGTACATTAAAAAATAATGCTTCCCAGGGTACCTTTCTGAGCTGAGAGACTTAATTTCCTTTTATCTGTAAAAAGAGGTTTTGAGAGTTATTTAATGATACACAGGTTAGCTATTTGGAATCTTTCCTTATGAACTTAGTTGAATGTTTTGTGATCAACACAAAACACCAATCTTTTCCTTCCTGGATGTGCTCCAGCGAGACTTAAGTCTGTGTTGGCAGCATGCTATTGAGATCTATAATAATCGGTATCATAAAGAGGATACGTAAATCTCTTCTAACCCTGCTGACTTTGAGGATTCATCAAGCAGGACCTATGATGCTTTCAACCAATATGTTTCAGTGACAGGTTTGACATCAGGGAATTTAAAGAGAACTAACTCATTCTACACATGGAACGGAGAAGGCAGTTGAGAGTAGGAGTTATGTATTACCATGTAAGCAATTTGAGTTACATCAGTGTTTCACCACTGGCAGACGCCTTAATCTTATCAGAGAGAGACAGGGGAAACTAGGTTTGTGGAAAGTAGGTTGCTTGACCCATGGGGAGGATACCCTAGAGATCTAATGAGCCTGAGAGCCGCAAGGCCTGGAAAGCTGTACAACAAGGGAAGCAGCTTTGGAACAATTTTTCAGGTTTTGTTCTTGTAATCTTTTATACTTCCCCCTTTATCTCAGTAATATCCTTTATGTTTCCTCCTGCCTTTATTTGCTGAATATTTTATTTTCACTACTGTTTTATAGATCCCTACCAAGAAGAAGGATGAAGAACTTAATAGCAAAAGAAGAGCACAATTGCCAGAGATGCGAGAAGAAAGGACCTCACACGGTTCTTGACTTTTCTACAGAGCTCACTGCACATTTTCCCACTAAAATGTTGGGTAAATATTTATACTTAAGATTGGATTGGCCAGGGGTGGTGGCTCATGCCTGTAATCCCAGCACTTTGGGAGGCCAAGGTGGGAGGATCTCTTGAGCCCAGGAGTTCAAGACCAGTGTGGGCAACATGGCAAAACCATCTCTACAAAAAATACAAAAAAAAAAAAAGAAAAAGAAATTAGCTGGGCAAGGTAGTGCATGCCTGTAGTCCCACCTACTTGGGAGGCTGAGTTGGGAGCTGTGATTGAATCACTGCACTGCAGCCTGCACGACAAAGTGAGACCCTGTCTCAAAAATGTTGAAAATAAAAAAGATGGATTAACTTTCAGAAACATTCCAAGGATATTCAGGGTCAAAGAAAGAGGTGATAGTAAATGCTGCTTTGAGTTAAGCCTTCTTTTCTTTTTTTTTTTTTTTTGAGACAGTGTCTCACTGTCACCCAGGCTCTGAAGTACAGTGGCATGATCACAGCTCACTGCAGCCTCGACTTCCCAGGCTTAGGCAATCCTCCTATCTCAGCCTCTCGAGTAGCTGGGACCATAGGTGTGCACCACTTTGCTCACCTATTTTTTGTAGAGACAGGGTCTCACTATGTTGCCCGGGCTGGTCTCAAACTACTGAACTCAAGCAAGTAGCCCACCTTGGCCTCCCAAAGTGCTGGGATTACAGGCATGAGTCGTCAGGTCCAGCCATACCTCCTTTTCTTAATGGGCTCTGAAGGCAAAAACCAGAGGAGTCCCAGGGGTTTTGAAAAAGACTTATCTGGATATATGTTCTGAAGTGGGTGTTTTTAAGACCGCATTTTATCATGAAAGACTAGTTCCTCTTTGGATCTCAAATAATCACCTCAAAGAGCCCTCTGATCACTCTATCCCCCAACCCCTCCTTTTTCTCTCACAGTACCTTTTAAAATTATGTTCACTCTGCCCTCATCTTGTTAACATTTTTACTTGTTTCTCATCTACCACCACCCTCACTAGTCTGTAAACTCCATGAGAACAGGGATCTTGTCGTTTATGAGTCCAGAGCCTAGAACTGTGTCTGGTATGCTATAGTCAATAAATATTTGTTGAATAACAACTTTTTTTTTTTTTTTTGAGACAGGGTTCCACTCCCATCACCCAGACTGGAGTGCAATGGTGCAATCTTGGTGCTGAACCTCCGCCTCCCAGGCTCCAGCGATTCTCCTGCCTTAGCCTCCTAAGTAGCTGGGACTACAGGCAGATGCCATCACACCCAGCTAACTTTAATTTTTTTGTAGAGATGGGGTTTCACCATGTTGCCCAGGCTGGTCTCGAACTCTTGGGCTCATGAGCTGCCTGCCTTGGCCTCCCAAAATGCTGGGATTATAGGCGTGAGCCACCACGCCTGGACTCTTTTTTTTAATATATATAAATAGAGATGGGGTCTGGCTATGTTGCCCATATAGCAACTCCTGGCCTCAAGCAGTCCTCCTGCCTTGGCCTCCCAAAGTGCTGGGATTACATGTGTGAGCCACTGGGCCTGGCCAAGTTAATAGCTTTCCCAAAGTCACCTCTCTTATCAGCTTTATTGAAGTTTCATCCACACAGCCTTGTCTGACCAGAAACAAGTGTGCCACAATCATCAGATGATGTAGAATCACAGAATTTAAATGTCCTTAGAGAAAAGCTACCGTAAGCTTTAACTAAATTTGTAGAAAGTAATTACAAATTTCAATTTGGCTAGGTATACCACATCCATTAATTCTAGTGTCATTATTAATATAAGACACATTGTTAATTTATGAATTTAATATGCGAGCAAATCAACTGAGACCCTCCTTTCCCAGAATTAATAGGCTGCATTGGAGTACCAGAGTATTCTTGCCACCACACCAGGGGTTTTAGCTCTTTGGCAGAAGATTGGCTTTGGGTTTCTAGTGATGCTCTGTTGTCTCCACCAGATGGCGTTATCTTCCATCTGGGAGTGCCTGATGGACACCTGTTATTACAGATCTGGTTGCTATTGCTCCCCTGGAGGTGGGTCCCTCAATGTGTAAACAAGCTGGAAAACTGCCCTGCCCTGCCCATTCCAGGCCTGCCTGGCCCAGTGTGACTCCACCTTTTTGTGGTAATTACCCAGAAGTAGGGGCTCTTTCTTATAGGAGAACCAAGATTTGTATTTGAACACAAACAAAGGAACTGATTTTTTTTTTGAGTCTTGCTGTCGCCCAGGCCTAGGCTGGAGTACAGTGGCACGGTCATAGCTCACTGCAGCCTCCAACTTTTGGGCTTAAACAATCCTCCCACCTCAGCCTCCCAAGTAGCTAGGACCACAGGCATGCACCACATTGCCTGGCTAATTTTATTATTTTTGTGTGTAGAGATGGGGTCTAATTATATTGCCTAGGCTGGTCTCAAACTCCTGGCTTCAAGAGATCCTACTGCCTGGGGCTCCCAAAGTGTCGCGATTACAGGCATGAGCCACCTCACTTGGCCCTTGTATACTTTTTTATCACTGTTCAAGTCACATTGAATTTTAATTGTGATTTGCTCTTTCCTTTCTTCCTCTGTGGTGGAAGGGTCTGCGCAGTGACCAGAGTATTTTAGACACATGATACACTTTTCTTTAACTCAAGTGGTAATTTCCATAGCCTCTTTTTTCCAACACACAGGCTCCCTCCCGACATAACAAGTAATTTATGAATTCATTTCAAAGAAGCAATTTTGTATGTGAAAAGGTCTATCTTCAATGTTTACATTATTTTGTATTTGTAGTATTTGATTTTTTTTTTTTTGAAAAGCTAGCATTATTAGTGATGACCTGAAACCCAAAGTTTTAAATCAGTTGATGTAAGGTCGTCATGACTACTCTTTCCAGTGGTAGCCTAAGGTTCGCTGAAACATTGTCATCGTTATGAAAGGCACTTCATTATGCAGGATACCATTCATATCCAGTTTTCTAAGATGGTTGAGGACATTGTTTTTTAAACTTTTCTGTTTTTTAAATTGACAAAAATTGTATATGTTTACTGTCTACAACATGATGTTTTGAAATATGTGTACATTGTGGAATGGTAAGTCAAGCTAATTAACATGTATTACCTCACATACTTAGCATTTTTTTTGTGGTAAGAACCCTTAAAATCTACTCTTAGCAATTTCCTTTTTCTATTTATTTATTTATTTGAGACAAGCTGGAGTGCAGTGGTGCAATTTCGCCTCACTGTAACCTCCGCGTCCTGGGCTCAAGCAATTCTCATGTCTCAGCCTCCCAAGTAGCTGGGACTACAGGCGCGTGCCACCACACCCGGCTAATTTTTTGTATTTTAGTAGAGACAGGTTTCACCCCATGTTGCCCAGGGTGGTCTCGTACTCCTGAGCTCAGGTGATCTGCCTGCCTTGGCCTTCCAAAGTGCTGGGATTACAGGCGTGAGCCATCACGCCTGGGCTTTTTATTTATTTATTTTATTTTATTTTATTATTTATTTATGTATTTATTTATTTTGAGACAGAACCTTGCTCTGTTGCCAAGCTGGAGTGCAGTGGCATGATCATGGCTTTCTTCAGCCTCAACCTCCTGGGCTCAGGCAATCCTCTTGCCTCAGTTTCCCGAGTAGCTGGGACCACAGGCTCACACCACCACAACAGGCTAATTTTTAAGTTATCTGTAGGGGCGAGATCTCCCTATATTGCCCAGGCTGGTCTTGAAGTCCTAGGCTTAAGTGTTCCTCCTGCCTCCCAAAGTGTTGAGATTACAGGTGTGAGCCACCTCACCTGGCCAATTTGCAAGAATATAATACATTGTTATTGACTATGGTCACCATGTCGTACAGTAGATCTCTTGAACTTATTCCTCCTCACTGAAAGTTTGTATCCTTTGAGCAACGTCTCCCCAACCCACTTCTTGTTTTTTATTAACTTATTAAAGTATAATTTACAATAAGTTTCACTCATTTTAAGTATGAATTCAATGAGTTTTGATA